>NC_000006.12:9756969-9908484 GCF_000001405.40 Homo sapiens
GAGACCGCCAACTGAATTAATGATTCTGAAATCATATAAACTACTGCCATATTACAATTTGAGTAAGACAAAATCCAAAGCAGTTTAGGTAACATAAAATACTGAATAATCATGAAAATTAGTGGATTGTGAAATGAATGACCACCTACCGTCACCAATGAAGCTGGCCCAAGACTCTCCACTTTATTAAAGAAGGCATAAAGTATATGAGAGTGAAAGAATTTACAATGCCTGAAGCTCAAAATACACCCATTCAATTGTTTTCTTGCTGTTGTTTGCAAACTATTACAACAGAACATTATCTATTTTACTGGTAATGTGAGTTTTTGCATCAAATAAATCTCTACATTGCTTCCTGCCCAGCTTTGCCCTTTCATCATTTAAATCATGCAGCTTGGATTTGGATTGACTCATAATCTGAAGCTCCTGGATATTTAAATCTTATCAGTGATGTCATGTTAGGTTTCCAGACAGTTGGCTAAATTAATTCTATTCACCTCATTCTCCATCTCTCCAACTGAATCAGTGTGGTATCTGTGGAGAAGAATCTCCTGCACCATACTGTGCTCATTTTCCAAATAGAACTGAGCTAAAAAGCAACTAGTTATATGCTATGCTCTGGTGGATCCCAGATAATATGAAAAAATTCTAATATTACAAGTCCAGAATACAGGATATCATGTAAACCTATTAAATACTGAATGAAAGCATGAATAGCTGCTCTTCAATGGGGGTGAGGGTCCACCACTCAGGATTACATGTATACAGGTTAATTGTCTCAGTAAGATTGCTTTCGGCCATGAGCAACAGAATGCTCATCCAAGAGTATTGAACAATAACGCATTTAATTATCTCATGTGAAAGAAACTTTCAAATAGGTAGAAGTGGGTGATAAGCAGTGGCTCCACACAGCAGAATGCTGGGTTGAATTCTCTCTCATTTTCCTCCTCTCATAATGCAAGATGTCTGCAGAAGCTTCCAATATCATATCCTTATAGCAATGATTCAAGTGGGAAGAAATAAGAGGGTGGGGAAAAAGGGTTCTTCTTCCCTGTTTCCCTTCTGAAAGAAGGAAGCCCAAGCCAATATCCTCTCACATCTTATTGATCAGAACTGCATCTATGACCACCCATAGGGCATGGTGGACTGGGAACATATCTACTATTTTCAACCATTGAAGGCACTGTCCCCAGTAAGAAAGATGGGAGACAAGATGGCTGCTGAGGTGCAACCAACAGTGTCCAACACAAAACGTACCTGCTTTCAAACATAAGGGAAGTTACAGGGATCAAAGCCTTAATTGCCCTAGTGATGTCCGTGATAACTACATTCTTCATTGTTATTTTCCTTATGGAGACATAGATGGGGGTAAGGTGATGTCATTTTTCTTATCTATCTAGAAATCTAGTGGACTACGGTATCCATGAACTGAGATCATTTATCGGAGCTGTTATGGCTTCTTAGCCATATTTTAAAAGTTGATTGCCAGGAAGACATCCTGTTAGGGAATAGCTTTTAAAATGAGTTCACTGAGCACCAACAGCACTGACCCCCTCCCCACCGAGAAAATAGATATAAAGCTTAAAATCAAAAGAGAAAATCATATTCATAAAAATAGTGCCAAAATCAATGTGCAGAGGAGATAGCACGTCTGAGCAGGAGAGGGGCTACAGAAGAAAATGGTGTTTTGTGCTCATATGATCAAGGCAATAAAGAAAGTAGAGTGAAAATAAAAAGTCTTCTGAGAGGAAGAAGGAAGCTTTTGGAGCAAAGGAGTTAGGCCCTGAGAAATCAACAGGGAACATATGCCGTGTCAGCCTCAGGCCCACCCACAGGAAAGAAGCAGATGTGAATGTCACCTAAAAGGCAAACTGGATTAGAATCCTTCACATGCACCAGTAGGGAGAGAGTTACCACCCACTCCAAAGAGCAGCAGCCTGTGTCATTGCCTCCCTATGTTGGGCAGACAGACTAGGATCCAGTGATTGGCCCCTGTAATTTCTGCCCCTTGGTATTCCTACCCCGTGTGATCCTCTCTCCTAGAGTGTGGGTGGGACCTATGACTTGCTTCTGGCCAATTGAAAATGGCAAAGGTGAAAAGATTTTGCAGAGGTAATTAGGCTCCCAATCAGCTGGTTTTGAAACCAAACGGGAGACTACCCTGAGTGGTCCTGACTTAACTGGATAAAAGCCTTTGAAAGAAACACTGGCCCTCCTTGAATGAAAGACTCTCCTTGTTGGCTTCATAAAGTAAGAGGCCATAGAGAAGACCATATTGCCTGGAACTATAGGTGTCCTCTGGAAACTGTGATCAGCCTTCTAGCCATGGATAGTAAAAAGCTGTCCCCCCACCCACCGCCCCAACATACAGCCACCAAGAAATCAATTCTGCCAACAACCCAAAGTAGTGTGAAGGGGATTGCTCCCCAAGTTGAGCCTCCAGATGAAGCACAGCACAAACAAAATCTTGATTACAGCCTTGTAAGACCCTAAGCAGAGGACCCAGTTAAGCTATGCTCAGACTCCTGACCTATAGAAACTATACGATTAAAAATAATGTGTTGTTTTAAGCTGCCAAGTTTGTGTAATTTGTTTTACAGCAATAGAAAACCAACACATTATGTTTACTCCCCTGGTATCTCCCCTCTACCATTAACATCTTATTTTTACACTGAAGATATTTTAGTTACTACCAAATGCTTTGCATGTTTCCCCAAAACAAGCAGGTCATTATTTTAATAGTTAAAATATAGGCTGGAGAGCAGAGAGTTGTGAAGAGTAGCAGAGAGGACAGAGCCTCAGCTAGTAATAATAGCTAGGGCCAGCCATGGTGGCTCACACCTGTAATCCCAGTGCTTTGGGAGGCCAAAGTGGGAGGATCACTTGAGGACAGAAGTTTAAGACCAGCCTGGGCAACATAGCAAGATCTCATCCGTACACAAAATTACAAACATTAGTTGGGCATGGTGGTGCATGCCTGTAGTCCCAACTACTAGGCAGGCTGAGGCAGGAGGATTGCTTGAGCCCAGGAGTTCAAGGTTGCAGTGAGCTGTGTTTGTGCCACTGCACTCCATCCTGGGCAACAGACTGAGACTCTGTCTCTAAAAGATAATACTAGTATCAATAATAGTAATAGCTAACATTTGTTGAGCATTTGCTATATACTTTGAGCATTTATACTATTCTAGTTTTTATATACATATTTGAATTCACTAAAATAAGGCTGGTACCTCTAGCTTCATTTGTACAGATAAAGAAATTCGGATAAAAAGAGTTTGAGAAACCTGTCTAAGTTTACTCAACTAGAAATTTGTAAAGCTAATTTGTTTGAGTTTAGGTACTATGTTCCCAGAGCCTGTATTCTTAGCCACCATGACTTATTCCCTCTCAGTACAAATATATGGTCATGCATTAGCCACATCTAATAAAGATCACTCAATCCCTAATTATACGTGCATCATTGATAAATTACTGTCAGGAATAGATCTCCATAGTTATTTTGCTCTGATGAACCATTCTAGAGCCGACTTTGCTTCCCTCCGCATGGCATCTCATTCTCACTCCACACCCACTGAACTCTGCAGAACATGCCAGTAGAATACAACTTAAGACATTATATTTTTAAAACTGCAGAACGCATGAACTAATGTCTATGTATGAATCTGAGACTAGTTAGAGAATTCCACGCCATATGAAAAGAGCATAGATGCACTAGTTGAGTATTGGTAAATTAGCCACCTAATGTCTCTGGACTTCAGATATATAATCTGTAAAATGGGAATAAGAGTATCACAAGGGTGTTCTGAGCACCAAATGAAAAAACTGTGGAAAAGAGATTTATAAACTAAAATTCTGCACCCATGGATATGGTTAGCTAATCAGAGGAATGAGCGCACATTGCTTTCACCGTATTGCACAAAATAATTCTGAAGGAATGAAAGTTGGAGGCCCTTAAGAAGACTTCTTAGCATAAGAATTTTATATTTAAGATTCAGTTGATAAATAAGAAAAGAGTACTGCTCTCCTACCAAATATCAGGAATGTTTCATTCTGGTCATAGTGCAGACACAATGTTGAAGTTAATATTTAGGGTTTGTTCCTTTGGGACGAGTCTGACATTTTTTGACCTGTTAGGTTTCAGGATATGTTTCAAAGCAAGAAGAAAAATTATATTTTGAGGTGACTGTAACTACCTTTTTTGTTGCTGAGATTGCATGTGTTGTATCTATTTAACCCCTATAAAGGGGGCATGAAATAAAGGGATCATGGTTGTATCATGAGAGCCTTTTCCAAAAGGCAACATTTATTTTCAAGTGTTTGGATTGCCGAGACAAAGATTTCTCTCCAATGTACAATTCATCAACCTCCTTACTCACTGTAAAATCAATCTGTTCTGTTTGTATGACATAAACAACAAGTCATTTCTCAGGAATGAGGCAGACCATATGTGAAGGTGTTTCAGAAAAGCACAACAGGGAATACGCCAATCAAAGAAGCATCTGCATTTTATTTCAATGTCAAATCACATGTGTGTTATAAAAAGGAAAGTGTATCAGTTTTATTAAAGAATAACTTTCCTGTTGTGATGTGTAGTTAACCCATACCTCCCCTAAGCAGTACAGTCAGGTCAGCGACATAGACAACTGGCCGAGAACACAAAAAGAGCTCAGCCTGTGTGGTCAGCAATGTGCACTTTGCAAACATCTGGGCATATGCCTATTCCCTACCTTTGTAGCCGGGAGGAGACTTGCCACAGAGGTAAGTCCATCATATGCATTTTCCCCCAAATCAGCACTCTCATCAATGCATTGATATATATCAAAGAAGCTTGAAATTGATAGAAACAGGAAACTACGAAAAGACTAGCAGAGTTCTAGGGAGAATTTACTTTTTATGATTGGGACTGAATTGAAATGGAAAGGAAGTGTGTTCTAGTGTCATTTCCACTTCTTATTAGCTGGATGACCTAAGGCAAGTCACTTAGCTTCTGTAGGTCCCAGCTTTATACTTGTATAAACTGGCAAGGCTGAACCAAATAATCCCAAAACCCCTTTCTGCTCTACAAATATGTGGTTCTCTGGTTGCTTACCCACGAAGTTACATTTGAATACTAATGGAAACATTTTAAGATTGTCTTGTTACTGAACCTTCTCCCCATTTAGGAGTTAGGTACCTCTGAAAACTATGTTAACTTCTTTAAACCACTGGAGTGACATCTACTGTTTTGAAACAGTCTTTAGTGCAATTTCCAGAGGTACTTATCACATAATCTGGCTTACTTCTTTGGAGAAATCACTATACAAAGATTAAGGTACTGCATTACGAAGCAGGGAACCCAATTCACTCCACAGGGAATGGATTCTATAGCTCTGTTTACACAGGCAAATGAGTGGCTATTTGCATAATTAACTGAATGGACATTGTAAACATTCTCCCTGAAGTCCTTTCACTCAGAAAATAATAATAATTAAAGCTTCCCAGTGGACAGTATCTTTTTTGACCTGAAATGCACATATATCTATCTATCTATCTATCTATCTATCTATCTATCTATCTATCTATCTATAGATATGCCATTTATCTCTATATACTCATGTCTAACATATAATTTTTAGAATTCAACTGTTCATTTTCTTTTCTGTAGGACAGAACATACATGTGTCACCTACAAAGTATCAGTAGGGCTCCTACAGCTACTGGTTTCAAGTAGGATAGAAATTATAAATGTTAACAAGAGGTAGTAGAGGAAGCATAACTAGCAAAACAGTAGCCTTGGCCATAGGGAGCATTAAACTGAAATCACTGCAGCTTAGTACCTGGGAGAGAAGAAGGAATCTCTATTTCTAAGTAATAGAATATAAAATTCCAGGGAAGGATTTGGGTGGCCTGGTTCAGATCACATGCCCACCCCTGGGCCAATCATAGTGGTCATAGGAACATAACATATATCATGCCCAACCCCATGGAGTATGTGTGAGGTGAGGGGAGATCTGTTAATCAGAAAAGAGGGGAAGCAAAGGCACTTTTGGGAAAGAAACATGTCCACCAGGAAGAAATGAGAGCCACCACAGACAATCTGACTCAGAACATCTAAAGTCATCCTCAAATTTTGTACCACTGGCCTTTTCTCCAGAACTTTCTTCTGGCAATACCAATATTTCTTATTTTACCCTAACTTTTTGTATATTATTTCAACAAACATGTATTCAGTGCTTGCAATTTATAAAAATATTGAGGAATATCTTGGGCATTTCATATTATCCAACACATAAGCAAAAGATAGTCAACCTGTCACACAGGAATATATCTCAAAGTAAAAATGTAAACATCTTGTGAATAGAGGTCTTGCAGCTGACAAAAAAGGCAGTCAGGATGCACATCCTCTCAGGGACTATCCCAAAGATTGTCACCTAAGATTACCTGACCCTGCTGGCAGCTGACCAACTAGAGTGAGATGTGCAGGAAGAGGGATGTCATTAGCGGCAACTCAGCTGAGTATCTTTTTGGTTGAGAAAAAAAGTACGACAGTCTTAAAATTAGGTTTCAGAAGCCATTTTTATAAAATTATTTGCAGCTACAAATGAAATAAACTTGCATTTGATTAGCTAAGAGTCCTATACATCAAAAATATGTATTAGAACCTCCTGAAGTTTTCACAATCTACCAAATTCACCAACATTGGGATATTCAAATGAGTGCTGGAGGAAAAGGGAGGAGTGAGTTGGGGGTAGGAGATAGAGCACATCAGACAGAAAGAAAGAAAACATACATATTTAAACTTGCTGCACTGCAGCAAATGCTTCCCACCCGACATCATATAATATCTTTGAAGCTGGGTAGTACAGTATTCTGTGTTAAATGCATTTTATGGGGATTTGGAGAGGATTTAGGTAAAGGCTGCCCCAATAAATGATTTACCAGCTCTAATAAAACATCAAGGAAATTGTTCAGATTGTATCTCAAACCATTTAAAACAGACATTTATAGAGGTTTCAGCAGCCCCCATATCCTCAACCCCTGGTTTAAAAAGAAATGTGTATAGTGGTTAATTATCCCATATTACCCTTTTTTTAATGGTAGCAGTTTCAAGAGAAGGGAGAGATTGGAAGTCAATAAATAGGTATAATAGCGAAGGGGTCTGGGAGAGAGAGAGAAGTGATCACGTATTCCTCCTTCTATTCACTCATTCGGTAAGTATTTGCTGGTCATATTATGTACCAGGTACCCTAAAGCTAGGACCTGGAGACCTAGGAGTGACCAGATAAGGGGGATTCCTGCCTACAGCTTCTGTTTAGTCAGAGGAAACAGAAATGAACAAATCAATGAAATAAACAGGAAAGATTATTTTATATTGGGGTTAAGTACTTTAAAGGAAACCAACAAGGTGATGAAAAAGCAAATTGCCAAAATAGAGGTGGGTCCCACTTTGCATAGAGAGTCAGGAAAGGCTTCTCTGGGACATAAAGTGGATGCTGCAACCTCCAATCACATCGCTAGGAACAGGCAGAACATGCTAGATAAAGTGGAAAGGCGCTGATGTCATCAAGCATTCAGTGTGTCTGAAGAACAGAAAGAAAGGCAGACATAGAAAGTGATAAATCATCTCAGAGTGACCTATGCCCTCTATTTTAACCCTTGGAAAATGTATTTCCTTAAAATGGGTTATTAATAATGTTAATAATAATTGCCTTTATTAAAAATCTATGTGTTTTAGTTGCTGTAAGAATATCTTCTGTACCTTATCTCTCAACTTTCACAATATCCATCAAATCCCAAGACACAGATATTATTATTCTAGTTTGACACAGGAGAAGGCAGCCTTAGAGAGCTCAGACAAATTGTTCATGATTACACAGCAGTGGCAGAACTGGAATTCATACTCATGTTCATCTATCTACAGAGACTACACCTTTTTGGTTCCTTTAACTTGTTTCGTTCAGCAACTATTTGAACCCTATGAGAGGAACTGTGCCCACAGAAATGAATGAAGCAAAATGTTGTGGACTGTTTCTAAAGATGGCCACACAATATCTTCCATTCCAACATGCCCTTTTGCAATATCACCTTTCCACTCCTGCATCAAGAGGGAAGTCTATTCCTTCTCTTGCTAGCCTTGAGACTTATTTTGACCAAAAGAAGAGCTTTCCATTATGTCTTGCCTGAATTCCCAGCCCTCAGAATTGTGAGCAAATAAAATGGTTGTTTCAAGAAATGAAGCCTTGAAAGTGGTTTAGTGATTTAGCATGACCAAAATGCATAAGGAGCTCAGCGTGGAGAGGGAAACAAGCATACAAATATCTTTAAAATAATGCGAGTGTTCCCATATTTATTGCAGCATTATTCACAATAGCCAAGATACACAAGCATCCTACATGTCCATTGATGGATGAATGGATAAAAAATACAGCATATAAACACAACTGAAATACTATTTAGCCTTACAGGAGAAGAAAGTTCTGTTATTTGTGACAACACAGATGAACATGAAGGACATTATGTTAAGTGAAATAAACTAGGCACAGAAAGAGAAGTACTGCATGATCTTATTTATATGTGGAATCTAAAAAGTTGAGCCTACAGAAGCAGAGAGTAGAAGTATGATTACCAGAGGCCGAGGAATGGGGAGGTTGGAATGTTGTAGGTCAAAGGATACAAAATTTCAGTTGGACAAGAAGAATAAGTGCAAAAGTCCTATGGTACAAGATGGTGACTACAATTAATAGCAATATATTGTATACTTGAAAATTAGTAAGAGAGTGTTCCCACAAGAAAAACATAATTATGAGAGGAAATGCATATGTTAAATACTTTGACTTAACAATTACAAAAAGTATACATAATTCAAAGCATCACGTTATACACCATAAATATATACATTTTTTACTTGTCAATTAGAAAATAAATGACTTTTAAAATTTAAAAGTACTGTGAGTGGCATCACGAGAGAGCAGCGGAGAAGCATTTAAGTCAGTGTTGAGCAGAGGTGGGCAAACTTTTTTGGGAAAGACCCAAATAGTAAATAATTTAGGTTTTGTGGGCCACACTGTCTTTGTCTCAAGGACGTAATTCTGCCATTGCAGAGGAAAACAGCCAAAGACAACACATAACCAAATGAATGTGTCTGAGTTCCAATTAAACTTTATTTACAAACGCAGAGGGAGAACAGGATTTGGCCCCAGGAGCTGTAATTGCCAGCATCTGGCCTTCTTAGAGCATCAGAGGACACCAACTGAAGGCATAGTGCCTGAGAGTAAAGCATCTTAAAGGATCAATCAGGAACTGAAGCTCTGAGATCCTGGGAAACCCTTCAGCCTTTTAACTTAACACATAAGATAATAACCGCATTGTGACACTGCATATTCTAGACTCTGAAAGGTCATTCCCAAAGGGCAACAGGGAGCTGAGTCATCAGAGAAGGCCTGGAAAACAGGAGAAATGGAAGAGCTGGGAGCCTGAGGGCTTAATGAAGCTTTTCCTCCAGCCCTGGTGAACCCCGAATAAGAACTAAGAACTTAGCATATGACTCACCAGAAGCTCCAGCCCTCTCATTGCATTAGTCTGTTCCCACGTTGCTACAAATATACTACCCAAGACTGGATAATTTATAAAGGAAAGAGATTTAATTGACTCACGGTTCAGCATGGCCAGGGAGGCCTCAGGAAACTTACAATCAGGACAGAAGGGGAAGCAAACACATCCTTCTTCACAGGGTGGCAAAAAGGAGAATGAATGAGTACTCAGTGAAGGGGGAACCCCCTTAGAAAACCACCAGATCTCATGAGAACTAACTCACTATCGGGAGGACAGGAAGGGGGAAACTGCCCCCATGATTCAATTATCTCCAGCTCGTCCCTCCCACAACACATGGGGATTATGGGAACTACAATTTAAGATGAGATTTGGGTGGGAACATAGCCAAACCATATCACTCATCTACATACATCAAAGTAAGCACCTAAAACCTCTGTTCTGGAAGTTATTTTATTGAATCTAATCTAACAAGTATGTCACTACTCCCCTTAGAGACTATCACAGAGTTTCTGAAGAATAGGGAGCATGCCTTTTTCTTACTAGCAAATAGCATCTCTTGTACATGTTTTCTTTCTAGGAGAGCCATGCGTGTTTCTTGTCTTTGAGCTCTGTAGCTTCCCTTTATGCCTGATGCTTCTCAGTCACAGACCCTGCTTCTCTTAATCTGGAAAACAACTCACTCTTTGGCCTGAATACCACACTCTGGCAGCATCAGGAAAGCACTGGTGAAAGCATTTAGAGTTCTAAGTTAAGATCAATGGGAGTTCTAAAAAATGTGACTGGGCACAGGAAACTTGAGCTGATACCATGTTTTCCGATGGTGGTTCCAGGATGGAAGAGTGAAAGTAAATTCTGAGAACCAAATCAGATAAATCCCCAGTGGAAAAAGAATTTCAGGAATAGATCTTGGGGTGGGCAGGGAGGCCATGGGTAGGTATGAATGACTTTGACTAGGTACCATCTCTTCTTTCCAAGGTCACTCTTCATGTCACATGGCCACTGTCATTCCTCCTCACCACCATTGATGGACACCACCATTGCAAAATTCTGTACTCCTTACCTCTGAGAAGATCCATTGCCCACTCTTTCATGCTTTTTTTTGTTTGTTTGTTAGGAAACAGGAAAGGTTCCCTTGTCCCCTTGCAGGGCATGCAATGGGGATGTGGCTTGCTTCTTCAGTGCCCCGCTGCTCAAACCTCTAGGGGACCATATAGATGGGCAGGCTTTGGGGCTCTGACCCCACAACAGTGTCTAGGGGTGAATGTTTACAGCTGAAGCCCCAGTGGTCATGTGTTACAGAGTGCTCTTTTGGTTTAGCTTCCATAGGCGGCTTGTGTTAACCAGCTCAATTAGACCCTCTACTTTGTCGCAAGGACAGAGGGTTTTCTGTATCCCAGGTTCTTGCCTTGGTGTGCTGGAAGAATCGGATCAAACCTAGGTTTGGAGAATGAATGCAAAGTTTTATTGAGTGGAGGTAGCTCTCAGCAGATGGGGGAAGCCAGAAAGGGATGGAATGGAAAGGATTTCTCTTGGAGAAAGGCAGCCCAGGCTCTCCTCTGACTGCCCCAGCCAAACTGTGTGCCATTCTGCCAGTCAGTGGCCTGCCAGCCTGTTGGTGCCTGTCAGTGTGTCCCTCTCGACATCCAGCCACCCATGTGTTCCTCTGCTGATGTGCTCCTCTCTACGTCCAGCCACCTGTGTGTCAGCCTGCTAGGGTCTTGGGGGTTTTTTTAGGCACAGGATGTTGGTGTGGCAGGCCAGGGTGAAAATGCAACATTTGGGCAGGAAAACAAAAATGCCTGTCCTCACCTAGGTCCATGGGCACAGGCCTGGGGGTGGAGCCCTAGCCGGGAACCACACCCTTCCCCGCTTCTGTATCATTTAAAGGGACCACGCCCTTCCCGTCCCAGCACTTCTCTTCCATATCAGTTATATGTGCGTTCACAGAAACAGATACACCCGTAAACACATCACCAAGTAGAGAGAGCAGTAATTATGACCTGCTTAGATCTTAAGTGAACTAAGGGATCCAGCATGTGTCAAACCCAACTATCCCCCTAATTCCATCTCTGGACTCTGCCCACACCAATTTGTCACCATTTCTTGATTACAATCTTCTCCCCAAGACTTGGCTCAAACTTTTTTTGAGAACCCTTCCCCATTCTCTAGTAAATTTAGCCATCATCTTCTCTGTGTGCGCATGTTGCACTTCGAGCAATTTTTAAAAATACCATCATCAGATCACATTGATGTTTTTAAACATTAATATTCCTCATTGGACTATGAACTTTCTGAAGTCAGAGTACACATTCTATAGCCTACAATAGGAAGGCAATCAATATTTTGAATAAACAAATAATAAAATAATAATTCTTGCTGGAGTCAATAAATTTAAATTTGACAATGGAAAGAAAGGATATAGTGACTCACCAAACAGAAAATCGGTGTTCCTCCAGTTCCTCCAAGTAAGATATGTCCTGTGAATAATCTTCAGCTTCTCCAATTCTCCAAACAGTTGATTTTCCTTTCACAGAATGATCCGTCAGGCTATCTCCCTTGTCAAAGAAATTAACAAATATGAAAAAAATGAAGTGTTTTATTAATAGCAGATTGAAAGTTCACCTAGTTTCAGTGACATTTTCCCCAGAATGACTTATAGAATCATTGATCATAAAGAAGCATCGTTAGGCATGGGTTTTGCATTGAAATTATTGCTTTATGCTCCAGATACCCTCACTAAATTTTTATCTCTGTAATGGCAGAGACCACGACATGTTCACTTTTGTATTATTTCACATGGGACAGCTTATGTAAATGTTGTCAGAATGGAAAGACAAACATAATGATGGTCACAGTATTTGTATTGAATCAGGACTTCTGGGTGCAAGTGGAATAAATGCAACTTGAACTAGCTCTCAACAGAGTAATTTGAAGGTAGGTTTGAACAACAAGTCTATGGAGAAGGCAGAGAGAAGGAAATTCTGCTGAATTTCAAGAACACCGGAATCAAGGACTTGAAGGCTACCAGGACTCTCTTTGCCTCTGTTCTGTGCTCTGGCAGGTTACTTCATTCTAGCATTGTCGCCAATAGCTCCTGAGTCCCCCAGCCTGTGATTCTCAACAGCATCCATTTAAGCACAGGAATTGCATAATGTCTACGGAGCTCCTTACTAGAACTTGAGAAAATTTTGTAACCTGTGATGATGGGTCCAGAAGGCAGACTGAGCCCTGTGGCTCAACTAAGGGTTCTTGGGGCCCTGCTATGGCAGGGAATAGGGAGGGGGAGCAGCTAACCTAGCAGGGCTCTTTCTTCCTCTCCCACCATAAAAGCTCGGGTTTTACCTGTTTTATTTATTGGGGTCTCCTGTTAAGCTTTTACTATAAATGGTACTGACATGGTTGAGATGTTATGTAATCCCCAGTGTTGAAGGTGGGGCATAGTGGGAGGTGCTGGGATCAAGGTGATGGATCCCTCATGGCTGGCTTGGAGCTGTCCTCAAGATAGTGAGTTCTTGTGAGACCTGGTTGGTTAAAAGTGTGTGGCACCTTTCCCATTTCTCTCATGGTCCTGCTCTCACCATTTGATGTGCCAGCTCCCGCTTTGCTTTCTGCCATGACTGCAAGGTTCCTGAGGTCCTCACCAGAAGCACATGCTGCAGCTATGCTGATACAGCCTGCACAAGCATAAGCCAATTAAGCCTCTTTCCTTTATAAATTCCCCAGACTAAGGTATTTCTTTATATCAACGCAAGAATGGCCTAACCCACATGCTGATAAGGAGTTTGAAAATCATTAGTCTAGAGAAGCAGAAAATCAGGCATGACTTGCATTTATAAGACAGTTTTGTTAAAACTCCTCTTCCCTTTTATTTAGACCCTTGTCAAATGTTTTAAATGATTGTTTGTAAGAGGTCAGTTGGTTGAAATTCCTTGATATTAGTCCATACAAGTTTTAGCACAACTTCGTAGTTGGAATAGCTTGAAATCGCAAAATGTTGCTTTGGCTTGGCAGGTTGTTGTAGCCAGGAAAACCTAAGCATGAAACTCGGGTGAATTAGATATGTCATCAAATCCCCAGTGAACTCAACAAGGCTCATTTATTTTACTATGAAATTGATCAATTTGATTACCTTAAGAACAAAATCCAGTTATGACAGATATCAAGTTAAAGTAAGTGCCTTTCATTGTGGTCCTTTTTATCTTTTTTAGCTTCTACAGCATACAAGTATTTTTGAGTAGACTATTCAGTGTTGATATTTTTAATTACTCCATCCCTAAGTAAATTAAAGAGTACCAATATTCTTGAAAAAATATGAGATCTTTGAATTGTCCCAACTAAATATATTTGATTGGCACACCTTGCCAGGTTGCTGATAAAAAGCCTTTGTAACTATTTAAAATTTCAATTTGATGGCATTTCCTTATGAATTGCTTAGATACTTTATTCAATCTCATTCAATAGAAGGTTGAAATGGCTACCAAGAACTATACCATAAATTTGGTTTATCCACCAAAGCTGCTGATTTGATGGAGGTTTTTCATGACACAGTGCATAAATTGCTTTCTTTTTGGTTTCTCTATGAATATCTACATAGTTTCTTCAAACTAAATTCATAGCAGAAACAGGTTATAGTATATTTCTTTGTCTTCCGCAGCACTTAACATGGTTATAAGCATATGGTAGATCTCAAGAAATAGCAATTAGAGGCCATTTTATTAAGTACTCACATTATAATAACAACAGTGGACATTACCTCTAGTTGGCAAGTCATAAAGAAAAACATCTGTGAATACTAAAAACTGCAAACATTTCTTGAACTTTTATATTTCCTTTAAGAAATATCTAAATTAATGCACTAAAAAATCCTTCAGATGGATTTTTGGGAAGACATAAAGTAATGGAAACTAGTTCATCTCCAAAGAACTGATCAAAAGGGGAAAAAATACAAAGAAATAACTTCTGATTCCAAAACAAAAGGTAAGTGTGTGCAGAGAAATTCCCAGGTAAGTATCAGGATGTATGAAGCCTGTTCACATGGAAGCACTTTCATAATCTAAACAGTCTTCCAAGCACAAATGTATATCTTAAATATATGCCTGAAAAACAATGCCTGAGCCATATTGTCAACACTCAGAAGACAGAAAATAGATTTTCTGCCTCATTACAACTATAAATTCTGTCTGTATTCTGAACCCTAAGAGCATCATCATTAATTTTTTTCAACAGCAATGTCTTTAAAGAGATTCATATCTATACTTTAAAATAGAAATTGGTGGTACAAATTTATTCCAAAACATCACATTGTATATGTTGTGTGTATTGTCACTCATATACTGACCTGCCACAGAAATCAAAAGCAAATCTTTAAATATAAGTTGCTAAAACTTAGAATCTGATTTTCAAACTCATAGACTAAAATCTGGTTTGTGAATATTGGTGGTCAAATACAACATCGGTCACAAAACAATGAATGAACATTCTTCCAATGCAATGCAAATTGAGAGGTGAAAGTATTTTAAGGAATTTTGAAAATGTAAAATATCTAGTGCTATAGCAAAAAGGGTAGTCAGGTGGTGATCAGAAGACACATTCAAGTCTTTTTACTACTTTGTGAACTCAGATGGATTATTTAAAGTCCATGAATTGAAGTTTTAAATTTAAAGAATAGAGATAAGACAATCGTGAAGATAAACATATATATTACATTAGAAATATTATACATATATAATTTATATAACATATAATTTACACATATGTATAATTTATGTATGTATATGATTCTTATAGGAGGCGTGAGAATAGCATGTAAAATGCTTTACAATACTAAGGATATAAGTATTATCTGGTACCATATCCTATACAGCATAGGTGATCAATTGAATATTGAACACCCTTCCATTTCTTGTGCAGTTATTATGGCATTTCTTTGCAGCTGCTATGAAGAAAATGTTACAGGAGCCAAGTCTCAAAGTTATCTGAGCCGACGACATACAACCCTATTTAATTGTGTCATTTGGTAGGTAGCAAAGCTAAGGGTTCCTATATTGCCTAGGTTAGAAACTTTAAAATTAGTTCAGGATACAGAGGGTTCTGTCCCTTCGCCATAACTCCTTTCACGAGCCAATCAGTTTACAGAGAAGGATGAGGACCACGAACTGGTGAGAGGATAAGTCTGTGAGTGCAGAGAGAGCTGGCAGTTCACAGGCAGTGATACCAGGGCACTGGAAAAGTGTTACGGTGTCAGCACAGTTAAGCTCCACTTAGCAGCGTTTCTTCTCCAAATCCCTCACAGGGTTTTTGTGTAGGTCTTTGGGGAGAACTGTTCACCTGCCCATCTGGCCAGATGAAGGGCAAGGGGATTGTTTTCATCAAAAGAGAAAGCCTTAGAAGGAGGAAATGGTGAATAAAGGGCTGAATCCAGAGGATTACAGATGCTTTTGAACTGCCCTGGGAAGATCAGAAGTGAGCAGCCGTGGAAGGTTTAATGCTGGCCTAAGTGATGCTCACCATTTTTTAAGAAGGCAGGGGAGGAAAACTTGCGGTGGAAACACTCTGCTAAGAGGCTTGTGTTAATAAGATCACAGAATTGCAAGTCATAGATAACAACAACAAATACCAGGTGTGCCTGAACTATGAAAGCAAATAAATATGACATCATGTTCATTTCCATCAGTGCTATTATCATCATTCAAAAACAATCATAGCTCCAAATTAGATTCAGCCTAAATCCTGAGACCATCCAGCAGGAATACTCTTCCACCTTTCTTTAACTCATGCCTGATGTGTTCACCAGAGAATTTTACAGGACAGGCTTCCATTAATGTACCCAGGGGAAAACAAGTTATCCCTGGCTAGGTAGCTCAGGATATGCTAGAGAGACCCCTCAAGTACTGACTCCCTCGGGTTTCTGTTTCTGCCCACTGGAAGATGACTAGCATCTCTGGCCACTTGGCATCACACAAGTAAACTGTTCTCTGATCATTTACATTTGAAAAACTGATGCTTCACATTTGAAGTGCAACACTAACCTTAGTTTCCCACAGCCATTTTATGAACTGCCTAGGTTAGATTTTTTTTTTTTTGAGTCAGAGTCTCGCTCTGTTGCCCAGGCTGGAGTGCAGTGGTACCATCTTGGCTCACTGTAAGCTCCGCCTCCTGGGTTCATGCCACTCTCCTGCCTCAGCCTCCCGTGTAGCTGGGACTACAGGAGCCCACCACCATGCCCGGCTAATTTTTTGTATTTTTAGTAGAGACGGGGTTTCACTGTGGTCTCGATCTCCTGACCTCATGACTGCCCGCCTCGGCCTCCCAAAGTGCTGGGATTACAGGCGTGAGCCGCTGCGCCCGGCCTAGGTTAGAATTTTTTAAATTTAGTTGAAGATCCCAGTTAATGCCTGATACTATAAGAACATGAGAAAAAATAAAATGCTTAAATTGGAGTGTGGAGTCTCAGACTGAGACTGTTGATTGTCAAGAGGGTGGTATTTCTATGCTTAGAAGGTGGTATAAATGCCCTTACCCGTAACACTTGGTTGCTTATAACTTGGGTGTGTCCTGGCTCTGTCATCCCACAGCACTGACGGGGCTGAGATGCAGTCCCAACATGTACGTGCTGCCTCTGAAAGCCATTCAGCATGAAGACACCTTCCCAATGTGCCTGGACCCCAGGGAAGAACTTACTTTCCCAAGCAATTACTTCATAAGTTTTAGAACAAAATATTTAAAATAAAATCAAAAGAGAACTCCTTGATTGAACATGTGAACTCAGAAAATATGGAAAAGAGTTGTAGTTTTTTAGAGTGAACGTATTCATTCTCACGTTACCTACTTTAGCCTTGCTTCTAATCCCAAAATTTAAGGTCAACGACTGGTATGAGAATTTTACAAAAATAATTAAAAGGCTAGTATTAGGCCCATAATATCGTAGAAGTCCCACAAACATTTTTTTTCATTAGTTTCCCACAGAGTATATGTAAAAGTACCTGAATACATATGTACTAAAAGAATGTAATGTTGCTTCACCCATTTTTCACTTGCTAGAGGATTGTCCCATGGTTTCCATATCCTAGACCTGAAATTAAGATTATAAAAACCAAGAAGTAGAAAACATAACTGGCTAACAAAAGAAAAAGATTCATAACTTATGTTTTTCCATGATTGCTACAAATATGGATTCTAGAGCCAGAGAGTCTAGGTTCAAAACCCAGTTATATACTTTAATTAGCAATATAATTTTGGTTAATTTACTTCATTTTCCCATGCTTCATTTTTTCTCATCTCTAAGTTGGGGATAATGATGGTAATACCAATATCTATCCCATTAATTCACAGTGAGAATAAAATGAGTCATTTTTGTTGTAGACTGAGAAAATTCACCAGCACCTAGTAATGTCCTAATTCTCAGTAAATGGTACCTCTCATTGTTGCAGATTTCACTAAACTTTTTATTTCAGAGCTTTTATCTTTAATACAGCCTGTGATATAGAAGATCTGCAATATAAAAAGTCTGCAACATAGAAACTATCACAATTGTACATGCTGTAAGTAGCCACCTGAACATTAAAATACAGTCATTTATTTGATTAAATGATGGCCCACAATTTAGCGGTTAAAGAAGGAAAGATTTACTTTAATGTCAGTAGTGAAAGTAAGACATGAAAGATGGCTCTGTAGAACTATATGCATTTAGTCAGGAAAGTATAAAATTAAGATAATGATTCAGGTAACTTGTACACAAAGGGGCCAGGTTGTAGGGGTGGGCCGGGTTCTTTTACTTCAATTTTCTAGCAAAGCTAAATTTTTTAAATACTCAAAATTCGAAGTCACCTGGTCTAGGCAGATACAGATTTTTAAAATGTTAAGTATCTAAAAACTGGATCCAGTAATACAAGTAATATTAATTTGGCCAATGTTTTGGAAATCCAGTCTACTTAATTTATATAAGTTTACCAAGATAGTTTCTATACAGACTTCATGGCAGCCAGGATCGTGCCAAATAAATCACTGAAACACAGCACAATCAGCAGATCTATTAATCACTCTGCTCGAACTGAAAAGAGTCTTGTAGACTGATTAATTTAACTAAAGTCTTCAATAGCTTAAAGAAGTCTGATTCCAATCAGAAATCTACTGGCATTGCTGATTTCTCAAACGTCAGCCGCTTTACCACATCCCACACTTCAAAACCTGCTTTGAAGACCAAATTACTTTCTACCTGGAAATACATTTTAAGAAATCATAGTTTATAATCAGGGGCTGCTGTTTTCATGGTCTTTCCAAAGCCAACTTCTACAGCCTTCATTTTACCTGAGAGTGTAGTTCATCGTCTTCTTCTAAGAGATTGGGATCATAGTCCATAGAACAGGGACCGATTTTTTTAGGAATGCTCCCTAGGGTTAAAAACAAAAAAGTGGAAAAAAATATATGACACATTTTCACTTCAGAGGATGTGTAAGCTTACACTGCTGAAATCAAAGAGCTTATATATGCCTTGACAAATGGGGGTAGAAGAAAGAATTCTAAAACGAAGGCCCTAAGTTGTGCTAGGTCGCTGGTTTTAATTCAGCCAGTGTATGAACTTCAAGTAGAACTCTACCCTCAGCCACACCATGGGATGTAATTTACAAGCAGTAGCTGTGTCTGGTCTGCTTTCCTACCTCATCTGGGTAGGATTCTCTATCATCAGCTGTTTCTGGGATCACATTTTCAAGAAAGCCTCCCTGCATCTTGTATCAATGGTCCAATATGAAACTCTGAGATTAGAGAGGTTTGGTCCCTGCCTGCAACCAGTGCTTCTCACTTACTTACTCTCCCAAGAAACTGACTCATAAGTTTTGCAATATAATATTAAAAACAAAAAAGAGAACTCCTTAATTGAACATGTAAGCCCAGAAAATAGAGTTTTAGGTACCTTTGGCATATCGTGTGTGATGTGTTCTATATCAAGGTTTCTCAGCTGCGGCGCTATTGACATATTGGGCTGGATAATTCTGTGTTGTACAGAATTACAGAATTACAGAATTACAACACGGCTGCACCGTGCTTTGTTTAGCAGCATTCCTGGCCTCTACTTATTCAATGCCAGCAGCACCCTCTACCTAACCCCCAACCACTAGTTGTGGCAACCAAAAATGTCTCTAGACTTTGCCAAATGTCTGTTGGGACAAAACATGGCCAGTTGAGTGCACTGTTCTAGATTGCCAACTCCTTAAGAGACAAGGTATCTTTTCACCCTTGCTTTTCCTATAGTGCCTTGCACAGTATTTCTGAACCAATCAGATGTTGCTTAAAGGAAAATAAATAAATAAATGGCAATAGCATTTATAAGCAGGTATTCCTACAGCTTTATGCCTCCAAAGTCATTGTCTTGACCACTCATTTCAGTGAACCCATATGGCAAGGTCTATCCCCAGGGTCTTGTGACTAATATCCTGGCCCAGAAGATGCAGGTGCTTGGAGTGCTTCAGGAAAGCCACAGCTTTGATATGGGGGTTGACCTGACAGATTTTTTTCAAAACAGATAGCATGTGTTGTGAGCAGTCAAAGCCTTGTTTTCTGTCCCCCTTTCTCTCTCCAGGAATTGAATGGTGTCATCCCCTGTCTTTTGAAATTGCCTTTGTAGACTTTTTTTTTTTTTTTTTTTGAGACAGAGTCTTGCTCTGTTGCCCAGGCTGTCAGTGGCACAATGACGTCAGCTCACTGCAACTTCCACCTCCTGGGTTCAAGCAATTCTCCTGCCTCAATCTCCTGAGTTGCTGGGATTACAGGCATGTGCTACCACACCCGGCTAATTTTTTGTATTTTTAGTAGAGAGGGGTTTTGCCATGCTGCTCAGGCTGGTCTTGAACTCCTGAGCTCAGGCAATCCACCCGCCTCGGCCTCCCAAAGCGCTAGGATTACAGGCATGAGCCACAGCACCCGGCCCCTTGTAGACATTTTACAATGAGATTTAAGAAGTGTAAGATTCTGAGGACATAGATTGTATGTCTGCATGCTTCAGAAACCTTTTCCTCCCAAAGGGTGACCCCGCCAGCTTCTTGCTCCCCAGTCTAGGTCTGTGTGGCTCAAGCATTTTGGGAAATGATGTTTCATTGTGTTTCTTGACACTACCTCCAGTGTACTGCGCGAAGATAAAGGCAGATACTGAGAAATATCCTTCTTCATGGAAATTCAGATGAGTCAGGCACCTCTTCTTTGAAACACCTAATACTTCAGTCACATAGATCCCTGGAAGAACTCCCTCTCTTTGGGTCTAAAACAGCATTTGTTGGTAGTGAGATTGTTATGGTCAAAATGACAATAAGAAAGGGAGGAGAAGGAAAAGTAGTCTAGAAAACATTTTTATTTAGGTTTTAAATATATTATTTAAATATAAAATTTTGATAACGGTAATTTATATTTATCATAAATTAATTACATATTAAATTAATCATAATGACTATATATGTTTACATATAAAACATTATATCTAAACATATATAAAACATACATAAACATATTAAAACAAATATACAATTATATGTTGCAGATAATATGTAATTATAATCTAATGATTAATTTAATATTTATATATAATTGGCATATATATTATAATGGATGATTTAATGGTTACATTAAATATTATTTAAATACTACAATATTTATATATTTAGTATACATTTTTAATGTATTATTCTTTTTAAAGCCTTATAATTTAAATTCTTAGTGTATAATTTCTAGCTGGAATAACAAATATAAATATGAAACAATAATAGAATGCATTTTTTAGTATTTTCTAAGAACTCTGTATATATTATGTTGTTTACATCACACACACACACACACACACACACACACACACACACACACACAACTGTTAAAATAGTTACCATTCCCCCATTTGATAAATTTGGAAATTGAGACTCAGATCAAAGAACTTCCCTCAAATTAGACAGCCAATTAGAGGAAAATCTGAAATTTAATCCCAGTTCTTTTTGACCACAAAAAGAACTTAGAAATCTTCCTGCTAGAACTAATTTCTAATTTAACAGGATTTACATCCTTATATGTTAATAAAATGTAGTGATGGTGTGCATGTTAAGGTAATAAAGTCTCTATCGAAGACAGAGACTCCTAAAAGTCTTTAATATTTTCTTGGTTCTCATGTAAAATGTTCTTTGCTTTAAAACAGACCTTCCTATTTATAAAAACATATATAGCAATATATGCATATTAGACAATTATTTATATATGCTATGTAGTAATTGTATGTGTCATAGAATTATGTTACATAAATGTATCTATAATATTTTACCAAAGTATGATCGTATCATATATGTTATTTGCATCCTTCTTTACACATAACATATTGTTTTTTCTGGCTATTAAATATTCCCCAATGTATAATTTTTAATTACTGCATAGTAATACATAATATGGTTTTATTTAACCAGCCCCCTTTGCTTAATATTTATATCATGTTGTACATATTTTACAAAAATTTTATTGTCCTTCTGTGCTTATTTTCTTAAAATGAGTATTCAGGGTCAGGGATACTAAATCAGATGCTCAAGGTTTTTGTCTTTGCTCTATAAAATGAATTATCAAAGTTTATATTGTAACCAGCCAATGCAGGAACGTGTCTAATTATCCACATGCTTGCCAAAACTTGTCTGCTTAGTAGACAAAATAATAAATCTCATTGTTGTTTTAATTTGAAATCCTAGAAATCTAATACATTTGAATATTTTTATGTTTGCTGAGCATTTATGTAGATTCCCTTCCATGCCATTCCCCCTAATTTTTCAGCTGGAATATTTAATATTTTCTTTGTAATTTTTATCTTTCCATATTAAAGATATTAACTCTGCCTAACATGATGGTTCAAAATATTTTTCTTAGTTTGCAGTGTGTCTTTTAATTTCTTTGAGAGCTGTGTGTATATTTATAAGATATAATTTTCAGTCTTATAAACTCCTGTGTATCAATGTTTTCTTTCATTGTTTCTCCTTTTACTTATAAGCTTACAAAACCTTTTCACACGAAATAGTCAAACCATACATACACAAAATATAAATTAAACAAAGAACTTGTGGGGTCCTTTTATGATTTCTTGCGTGCTTTCCCACTGCCAGGTAAGCAGCCATGGCACCTGGGGTCTGAGCCAACACCTCAGGCTCAGACATGCAAAACACAACTGACCCTCATTGCTGTCCGAGGGCACTATCTCTTTTCACGACTTTGCTATTCTCTTTCCACCCAGACCCAAAATTCTCTTGTCTTCCATGAATTTTTCTACTCTATTGTCATCCACATCTAATGCTTTGTCACATTATCTTCTACCTCATTCAGTAGTTTAATGGCCATTTCTTCCTCCCTTTCGCCACAACCCTAGCTTGAGCCTTCATTGCTTCCTACCTCTGCAGGTACAGGCAGATGGGGGATGAGGGGAGAGAAAGAGAAACATTCAACTGAGATAAATTCATGGCATGTGCTTTTTTTTGCAAATTTTAATTTTCCATTCAATAAGAAATTATGGTCATCTCTACAAGTCATAAAATATACATCCACCTTTTTTCTTAAAATGGCCTTTTTCTTCTTGATCCCCCTTCAGGCCTTCCATCCATAGTTCCCTAAATCCTTTTCAATTCACCTGCCCCATATAATCAGACACACACACACACACACACACACACACACACACACAAATGAACATATGGACATGTACATTTATAGAGGTACTTTTTATCACTGCACAAAAAGGAGATTATATATAATCTCTTTTTTACATTACTTATATTATATATAATATAATATTTTTATGTATAAAATAAAATGGATTATATGGGGCAGGTGAATTGAAGAGGAGTTAGGGAACTATGGATGGAAGGCCTGAAGGGGGATCAAGAAGAAAAAGGCCATTTTAAGAAAAAAGGTGGAAATAAATTGATTTTATTATATGTTGCTTGTCAAAATGTATTTTTAAAAGTTTTTTGAAAAGCAGACTAGTAACATCTATTAGCATTTACAATAAGCAAACTATTTGACTCAGGAATTCCACCCAAAAAACTAGAAGCTGGGGAGCTAAGATACAGGAGGACTATTGGGAGTTGACTGCAAACTCCCTTCATACAAGCTCTCACCTTGTCACCCAAACCCTACATGGTATTTAGGGGACAGGGCAAGGGCCACCTCACTCCTTGCAGCTTCTACAAGCTCACATCAGATGAGGATGTCCCTGGCAATTTTGTTACTACACACCCTGCATTTCCCCTGGCTAACTCCAGAAAACCAGAATCCAACTGATATTTTTTTAAATCAAATTGTTGAGTTACAATTAATATACAATAAAATGTACATATTTTAAATGTACAATTAAATGGGTTTTGACAAATGGATAATTCCATGTAACTCCCAACACAAATAAAATCTAAAACATTTTTTGCATCACACTAAAAAGTTTTCCTGTACCCTTTATACACACACACACACACACACACACACACACACTCCTAGCAAACAGTGATCTGATCCCCAGCATGATAAATTAGAATTCTGCTACAATATCTCACATAGATATAATAATGCAGTATTGGCTCTCTTGGTTCTGGCTTCTTTCACTCAGAACAGTAGCTTGAGATTCATCTGTGTTATTGCTTGTATGGGAAGTTCATTACTCTATTGATGAGTAGTATTCCCTTTAATGAATGAACTACAATTTATTGATTCTTCATATTTAAGTCTTTCAAAGTTTTGACTCTGAGTATGGCTGTTATGAAAATTCATATCCAAATACTCTTGTAGGAAAATGTTTTCATTTCTCTTGGGCAAATACATAGGAGTGGAATTGCTGGGTCATTTGATAAATATGCCAGCAAAGGAA
Source organism: Homo sapiens (assembly GCF_000001405.40). Taxonomy (NCBI): domain Eukaryota; kingdom Metazoa; phylum Chordata; class Mammalia; order Primates; family Hominidae; genus Homo; species Homo sapiens. Next base: position 9,781,361 of record NC_000006.12, read on the forward strand.
AAGAGTTTTCGTTCCACGAATTTTCAATTTCTGCCATTCAGTGTATATTTAGGAGTGTATGTCTTCCTAATGATTCGTCCCCTTTCTTTATCTTTGTCTTGAAGTCTACTATTAGATTTCTAACATTAGATATTAATGTAGCCACACCAGCTTTCTTACATACAGTGTTTCCGTGGCATACATTTTTTAGTCTTTTCACTTTCAACTTATTTCTGTCTTTAAATTTATAGAGCATCTGTTGTAGACAGCATATAGTTGAGTCTTGCTTTTAAATCCACATTAGCAATCCCTGCTTTTTAATTTATTAAATCTTGAATATTTCATGTAATTATTGACATGATTGAGTATGTGTAGACATCTTGCTATTAATTTGTGCTTTGTCTCTTTGGGTTTTTTGTTCTGTTGACCCATTCCTGCATTATTTTGGGTGACTCATGTATGTTTTCAGTCTTTCATCTTGTTTCCTCTATTATTTTCTTGGCTATATTTTTTAGGTTGGTACTGTTTGCTTTAGGACTAATAGCATGCATCCTAAAATTATCCCACAATATTTCAAGTCAATGTTATCGACTGCCACACTTCATACCTGACAGTTCACATTACCCACTTCATACTTCTCCCTACACAGTATACAACAGTATAATTCCAGTTCCCACTCCCTCATCCTTTGAGCAATTGTCATATCTTTTATCTACACATGCTTTATAACCCCATCTTACAATGCCATTTTGTTTAAAAAGTAGATTACATTTTAAGACAATTATTAGAAAACTTAGTGTTTCATATTTACATACATACTGCAGTTCTGATATCCCTCCATTCCCCTGTATAGATCATTTTGTATTATTTTCTTTCAGCTTAAAGAACATTTTTAACTTTTTTATAGTGCTGATCTGCTGGAGAAAAATTATTTCAGCTTTCCTTCATCTGAAAATGTCTTTATTTCACCCTCCACTTTTATAGGATTCTTTTGCTAGATATAGATTTGTGAATTGACATTCTTTGTCCTCATTTTAAAATATATCATTATATTGACTTCTTGTCTCTATTTTTTCTGACAATGTCAACAATTTCTCACATTATTGTTTCCTTGTCTGTAACATGTGTTTTTTCCTTCTTCCTACTTTCAGGATTTTCACTTTAATTTGGATCTTCAGCAGTTGACTATGATATCCTTAAGTATGGCTTCCTTTGTATTTACTCTTCTGGAGTTCACTGAGAGTATTCAAGCTATAAGTCAAAATATTTCCTCAAATTTGGAAAATTTTCAGTCATCACTTTTTAATGTACAGTTTCTCTCATTTTATTATACTTTTCTTTCTAAGATTCCTATTACTGACATATATGTCAAACTATGTGATATTGCCCCATGAGTCTCTGAGTCTCTCTTCATTTTTCTCCCACCTTTTTCTTTTCTTTACTTCAGATTAGTTAATTTCTATTGTTCTGTGTCCAAGCTCACTGATTTTTTCTTCTGCCATTCTAATTTGCTATTAAGCCTATGCAATAAATTTCTCATTTAATTCTTGGATTTTCAGTTCTGTGTTTGGTTACTATTTTATAATTTCCATATTGCTACTGAGACACCCTATCTATTCACTGATGAAGGCCATGAGTGAAAGTATTTTCTTTAAATTTGTGAACATATTTGCAATGGATATTTTAATATTTTTCCATGCTAAATTTAATGTCTGAATCATTTTGGTGTTATTTTTATCCACTTTTTTCCTTGCCTAAGGCTCATATTTTCTCATTTCTTTGCATGTCTAGTAACTGTAGATTGTATAACGGGCATTGGAGAAGTCTCTGGATTCCCTTATCTTCCTCTGAAAGGTGTTGATTTTTTTTTTCTAGCAGGCAGTTCAATTTTTGGCTGATTCCTTTCAACTCCTGTAGTCTTGAATTTACATTTTGTTACAGCAGGTCCAAAAAACAAAAAACAAACCAACCAACCAACCCAAGGGTTTCCAAGCCACGAAGCCACTCTTCCTTGACAAAGCTCAACCTCAAAGCTCTAACTCCTCTGCTTACAGTGTCAGGGCTTGTTTTGGGCTTTCTTTGGGTGGGTATAGAGTAAGCTACTTTAGAGCGTGCTCTTTATGTATAATATGCAGACACTTGGTATCCTAATTTTCTGACCAAACTGATAATGAGGTATTAACATGCCTCTTCTGGTTGCGTTTGAACTCCCCCTCTGTTTGAATTCTAGTATGTCTGTTCTGCTCTCAGGTCTACCAGAGCCTCTAGCAAGTAAGTAGCCATTTAGCAAAGCCTTGGTATGCCTCACTATGGTTAAGTACAGCATAACCCGCGACCAAGAACCCGGGGGGGAGGTTTTTATACTGACATCTTCCTGCTTTCTGTTCTACTTTGCAGATTGCAGCTGTTTCAGCTGCAATGGTTTCCTGAGCTCAGTGGGACTTTCTCATTCTACTGCTCTACAGTCAGGTTATTACACCCAGGGCCACTGTTCACCGCGTAGAGTTTGCTTATCAGTTTCTCTTCTTTCAGGGATCATAGTCACGCCTTTTGATGGCAGTGCTCCAATGCAGTTGCTCCATAAATTCTTTCCACTGTAATGGTTGATTACAGCAGAAGAGCTAGCATGGAACCAACTATTCTACCACAGCTAAAATTGGAGGTTGTAATATTGTTTAATTTTTTAATTAGAAAGTAGAAATGAATATAAGAATTTGTCATGAGCTAACTAGCACCCATGTTATACGCTAGTAATGCAAATATTGGTTAATTATTTTGAAAGTCCACTTTAAATCCACTTTATGTTATGGAACTACGATTCTATTTAACTATCAGATCCTTGTACATTGAGAAAAAGATTAAATGTTTACAAGTAACATTAACCTTCCAATGCCTTGGGAATGTGTCAGCTGGTATCACCCAGAAAAAATAAATGGAAGTCATATTTTTAATAATACATGAGGTGCACAAGGAAAACACTTGTCAAAACTGTATAACATTACAACACCCTATCTCTGTATAAATGCATATGTTTATAAAAGTGTATTTTCCCTGTGTTGTGCTAATCTTTTTTACTTGGCATGTTTTTAATGGTTTTTCCAAATGACCTTTGTAAAATTAATCAAGGATCTGACACTGTCCTTTGGAGAAATATGAAGAGAGAATGCTGCTTATAATAACTTTTGCATTAAAAACCAGTCAGAAAATGACAAAACAGAGAAAACATTAATACTGAAAAAAAAATAAATAAAGCTTGAAAGTGGAGCCAACTGAAAAATGTTGCCATTTTGTCAAAAATATTTTTATGGGTATCTGGAAATCCATTTTCCTTTTATTTTCTATACCATGTCTTTATTACTTGAGATCAGATAGATGTCTCGAGATAATTTTCTATGTAAAATATACCACAATTTTTCAAGAGCTCTAATAGTGAGAAGCATCTCAAATTAAAGATGAATAAAATCTACAGAAAATATGTGTGAAAATATATGAATACAAAGAACCCAGAAAAATGCCTGCAATTAGACAAGATGAAAATTTAAAAAGAAATTAAATTTAGTTGTAATCCATTCCCTATTCTTTTCTTTGAGAAAATTACTACTGAAGTGAGGGTTTCCCCCTCGTAATTTAAATGTTAAGCTGCCAGATGTGTGTCTCATGCTTGAAGAGTCGAAGCTTTGCATTATTTAGCATATTAAGAATCACAGAATTTTAAAAAGGGTTCCTTTATTGCCTCGAGGTTCTAATTAAGTAAACCTTAGCCTGGTACATTTAAAACTTGCAATACATGAGAATTTGCTCTTTTTTCCCATAGTCAAGTCACATCTATATAATAAATATGGAAAATCTTTAAAATGATATAATTTTTCTTTTGCTTGAGGAATTAAACCTATCTATTATTTTAAGAAGTTTTTAATAGAGGCCAGCAATCTAAAAGACAACTAAGGATTCAAAATACTTTCTAATCATTGCAAGTTGCTTTTCTTATTTATACCCATTAATATGTGTTTCACAAAGGCAGTTTCATGCTATCAATCTTTCTTCTTCCTTACTCTCTGCTTCTACCGTGGTCCCAACTGTTCCATTCTCGTGAGACAAAGGCAATTCTAAGAAGCAACAAGAAGGTCATTGTTTTGGGGATCAATATCATGTTTTTCTGTGTTTGTGTGTGTCCGTCTGTGTTAAATCTCTGATCACACAGCACTAATAAGGTGCCCTTTCAGCAGTTTATGGAAAGAGTTTCAGTAGCTAACCTGAAAACTATAATCAAATAGAAGTTCTGGAGGCACACAGCATTCATAAATCATACCCTTAAATACAGTTATTTTTGCCATTTTAGAAAATGTCAAAGGTGTCAACTCTGTCCAAATATACCGCTTAACAGTGACTATTTTAGTAAATTGACTTGAAATGCATTCAGCTAACTGACAGTTAGAAGCACATAATCTAGTTCACAGTACAAATGAACAGTTTAAAGGCCAAAATAAGCACCAAACTACAAATTCTCAATAACTAACATTTTGCAATGACCATGGTTGTAACCACAGAACAAAATCTTAGTATTAAGGAGTTTATCTACATGAGAAACCAATGCTTAACATTTTTTAAATGAAATGTGACTTTTAAAAATCTAGTTTCCAGTTAAGAAAAAATTGTTCTAACCACATTAAAAACTATAGCCAAGTATCAAATTGGGATATTAACAGTGAATAACCTAGAAATTACCCAAATGCAGGTAATGAGTTGATAACATCCTCAGCTAGCTGCACGGTTTGAACCTATGAACAGCTCATGGATGCTGCCAACATAAGTAGATAAATGTTTGTCGTGATGGCAAGAAACAAGAAATTCTCTTTTCATCTTGGGAAGTACAAATGAACAAACTGATCTTCAAAAATGTAACTGTTGACAAACGGCAAGTTTTATAAAAATGGAGCTTAGGTTTGGCCAGGATTATTATTATCTCCAAAGCCTAGGATGTTTACTAAAAGGTAGGATTACCTAATATTTTATGAACTGGTTTTCTAGAAATGTGAAGAAACTTAATGGTTTAATATTTGGGGACATTTTAATATAGTTGGCAGCAGGAATGCAAGAAAACCATCCCTACATTCACTCTGTCCAAACCACTGACTGGCTGAGTGGTTTGGATCCATCTTTCCACATTGGTCCACAGCCCAGGTCACACTTTGGTGCTACTTATGAATTCCAGCAGTTATTTGATTGAGAATAATGCATTATATTTATAAAATATTTTCCAGTTGATAAAAATGTTTGCATATGTTACTTATTTATTTTGATTAACTTTATTGCCTGTAAATATTTTTGTCATCATCCCAATCTAGTAGCAGTGATCTCGGCTCACTGCAAGCTCCGCCTCCCAGGTTCATGCCATTCTCCTGCCTCAGCCTCCCGAGTAGCTGGGACTACAGGGGCCTGCCACTACACCTGGCTAATTTTTTGTATTTTTAGTAGAGACAGGGTTTCACCGTGTTAGCCAGGATGGTCTTGATCTCCTGACCTCGTGATCCACCTGCCTCGGCCTTCCAAAGTGCTGGGATTACAGGCATGAGCCATTGCGCCCGGCCTGCATTCTTAAGACAGAAATAGTTTCCTACATGTATATCTTACCTAATATAATATGATTATAATGTAAGAGCAGGAATATACTTCATTATTCTTCTCAAGAATAATCTTTAAATGTCATCCATTTCTGCCATACTTAAGATTCTATCCCTTTATGAAAGTCAGCTTCTTTTTTTCTGATTCTCAAAAATATTAAACTCTCCATCTTAAGCACAATAAAAGAATGCAGAAATTTTAATATGCTGCTCATGAGCTTTCTTTGGTTATCATCAATTAACACTTTCACTGAACTTAGAACGTCCAAAGCTATTTGGAAAAATACATTATTTTATCCACTACTAAGTTCCTATTGCTAAGAGAAAATTACACATAGAGATAGAGGGAGTCATTTCACCACAGTGAAACAGAGTGTAGACACACGCAATTGTGTGTCTACCATTATCAGAGTCAACTCAGTAAAACAATGATGATTTTGTGAGCACCTACCATGTGTACAAAACTTTACAAAAATGTAATACAAATATTATATGATATAACCTCTGAGGCTTTGTTTCTTCACCGAGAAAGGGGAGATATCAGGCCCTGACCTTATATAATATTAGTAAATTACTAATATTTACTAATATATTATGTAATAATATTAATTTATAATATAGAATAATAGTAATAATTTATTAATATAATAGTAATTTACTAACATTATATAATATAATTATATCATCAATGTTAACAATTAGTAATATATTATAAGTTATTGATACTATACAATATTATAAATTATTAATATTATTGCATATTGTATTAGTAAATATTAGTAATTTACCAATATTTTATAATGTCAGGGCCTGTTATCTCGCCTTTAAAGCTGAGAAACAAAGACTCAGAGATTAAGGAACTTGACACAGGACATTAAATGAAAGTCGAAATCTCAGTTTAAGTCTCTGCCTCCCATATTCAGGTTCCATTCCTCCATTGAATCTGGACTCATCTGAGTTCTCTCTGTCTATCCTTCCTTGCACATCTCCCACAGGCGACTGAGATAAGGGCTGCAGGGTGATGCTTTTAAAGTAAAAATAGCACAAAAAAGAACAAAAACAGAAATGTGGATCAACAATCCACTGCAGACTTTATTCATACTAGACAGAAGAAACATGGATAATAAAACCCTGCAGAAAGTAATAGTAACAGCTAACGTTGTTGCGTTCATACTATGTACCAGGCTTTACAACTTTCAAAATCTCAAGTTAACTACTAATTTTAAACTCTACTTCACAAATCTACTTTAAAACACTTCAGTGAGTAACAAGATTTACCAATTTAAAACTTCCTTCCTTCCTTGAAGATTATGCTAAGTGAAATAAGCCAAACACTGCATGATTCCATTTATATGAGGGACCTATAGTAGGCAAATTCATAGAGGCAGAAAGCAGCATAGAGCTTATAGAGGCTAGGAGTGGGAAAATGGGGAGTTGTTTAATAGGTACAGAGTTTCAGTTCTGAAAGATGAAAAAAATTCTGGAGATGGATGATGGCAAATCCATTTAACGCTACTGAACTGCACACTAAAAAATGGTTGAAATGGTAAATATTACGTTATCTATATTTTACCACAATTACTATTTTTTTAACTTCTGGATCCCTCAATAAAATGCTAAGAAACTTTTAAAATGATGAAAGGCCCTTAGTAAAAAAAAAATAACAAAAAATAATAGGAGGGCTTCCAGGTGGAAAAAGATGGCACAAACTCAATTCTGCTTTGTTTTCCTCACTAAGTACAAAATAAGCCCTGGAATTAATCCAAGAGGCCATCAAAGGAGAATTCCAAAAGGTGTAAAGAGGTGGGCAAAGTAATTAGAGACTCCAGGACTGGGGCAACAACTTCGGGCAAGGCATGTTAAACTCCACCACCAACAGAGGACCCCACTCTGACCTGACATTTCCTGACCTCACCCTATCAGCAGAGAGTGGTCCAGGTTGGCATGCTCATCCCTTCATCAAAGGGAATTTGCCAGGACAACACCAGGTGAGTCCCACAGCAACTGTGGGACTTCTCTACTTCCCTGCCTCCAGGGAAAGCATTCGCCTTCCCTACTGCTTGAGAGTTCCTCCCCCACTGAGAGACAACAGGTAGCCAAATGGTGGCCTATTGCAAGTGCCTGACATAGGAAGCCTCTTTTTTCTTTATTTTAATTATACTTTAAGTTCTGGGATATATGTGTAGAAGGTGCAGGTTTGTTATATAGGTATACACGTGCCATGGTGGTTTGCTGCACCCATCAACCCATCATCTACATTAGGTATTTCTCCTAATGCTATCCCTCCCCCAGCCCCCAATCCCCCGACAGACCCTGGAATGTGATGTTCCCTTCCCACAGGAAGCCTCTTATCAGCCTGAGGACAGAGACTGCCTTCCCTAACCCAGAGGCGCCAGGGGGCCACACCCAGGGAAACTCTGTCCTCTTAGGCATCACCAGCAGAGGCCAGTGGGAGCCCTAGAAGCACAAGTTGAATCATGGAGCCCAAAATAGCACAACGTCATTCAGTTACCAAAAAAAAAAAAAAAATCAGCCACAAATTCTATATACAGTGACTGTCCTTCAGGAATGAAGAAATAAACATTCTAAGATGAAAGGAAACTAAAAGAATGTGTCACTAACAGACCTACCCTTAAAAATTGGTTAATGAAAGTTTCTCAAACAGAAAGGAAATGATAAACAGAGAAATCTTGGAGCATCTGGAAGAAAAAAAGCAAAAAAAAAGGGGCATCAAATGTTATGATATACAGTATTCTACGCTGTCCCTGAGTTTTATAAATCATATTTGATAATCAGAATGAAAATTATAACACTTAACACTCAAGACAATGCTTAAAAGTAGGGAAGGTAAAGAAACTGAAATGGAAGTAAGGTATCTACACTTGATTCAAAGTGGTAAAATGTTGACACCAGGCAACTGTGATAAGTCACAAGTATATACAGTTATACCTGGAGCAACAACTATGAAAGCTACAAAAAGAGATATGCTCAAAAACTATAAATAAATCAAGATGGAATTCTAACAAGTGTTAAAGCATTGCACAAGAAGGCAAGTAAAGTAGAAAAACAAACTAAGACACAAGGGAAACAATGAGAAAACAAACATTAATTTGTTCAGTGAAACAGGTAGATCAGAAGTAAGAAAAAATGGGAAATATATACCACCATGCCAGCATTAATTTTTAAAAAGCAGGATTGACTATATTGACGTCAGATAAAAAAGACTTCAAAGCAAAAAAATTACCAGAGAGAGTATTATATAATAATTAAATTATCCATCTACCGGTAAGACACAATAATCTTAAATACTTATACACAAATAGCTGAGCCTCAAAAATGAGTAAAGTAAAAACTGATACTGATGAAAGAAGAATCGAAAAATTACAAATTCTAGTTAAGGATTTCAACATTCCCCTTTCACCAAATGATAGAGGTACTAGACAAAAAACTAGCAATAATATAGAAGATTTGAACAACACAATCATCAAACATAATATGAGAAAGAGATTAATAGATACACACATATACATACACATATGTAAAGCACTTTACTCAACAGCAGCAAATACACATTTTTTCAAGTCCCCATGAATTATTCACAAATGTCATACCTGCACTATAAAACAAACTTCATTTAATTTAAAAGAATTAAAATCATACCGAATATGTTCCATGACCATAATTAAATAGAACTAGCATTCCATAACACAAAGACAAGAGAAAACTTTTTAAACTCCTGGAAATTAAACAATATACTTCTAAGAAATCTGTAGGTCAAAAAAGAAAGTCTCAAAGAAAACAAAAATAGATTTAGAACTAAATAAAATGAACATGCAACATATCAACTTTTTTTTTTTTTTTTTTTTTTTTTTGAGACAGAGTCTCACTCTGTTGCCAGGCTGGAGTGCAGTGGCACAATCTCGGCTCACTGCAACCTCCACCTCCCAGATTCAAGCGATTCTCCTGCAACATGTGAACTTTAATGGGATATAGCTAAACCAATGTTGAGAGAAAAATTCATAGCACTAAATGCTTACATCAGAAAAGAGGAAAATCAATAATCTACAGCCTCACCTCAAGAACCTAGGAAAAGAGCAAAATGAATCCAAAGCAAGTACAAGAAAGAAAATAATAGTTATAAGAACAAAAACCAATGAGATTGCAAACAGGAAAAAAAATAAAGTCAATGAAACTTGAAGGCGATTCTTCAAAAAAATCAATAAGACTGATAAATTTCCAGCAAGAGTGACAAAGATAAAAAGAAAGAAGATACAAATCACCAACATCAGGAATAAAATGGGATATCATTACAGATACTGCAGCCATTATGAAATAAAAGAATATCTTGAGAAGTTTTATGCTCTTACACTCAACAACTTAGAAGAAATGGACCAATTCCTCAAATACTCCAAACTACCAAAACTTCACCAACATGAAATAGATAACCTGAATAGTCCTTTAACTATTAAATACGTTGAATTTGTAATGTTAAAATCCTACATCCAGATAGTTTCCCTAGACAATTCTACCGAACAATTACAGAAGAGTAAACATCAATTTTACACAATCTTTTCTAGAAAATATAGGAGGGAACAACTCCTAACTCATGTTATGAGGCCATTATAACCCTGACACCAAAACCCGACAAAGAGAGGACATAACGAGCAAAACCACAGATCAATATCTCCCAGAAGATTAGACACAAAACTCCTCAACAAAATATTAGCAAATTGAATTCAACAATGTATAAAAAAAAGATACACCATGATCAAGTGGGATTTATTACAAGTATAAAAGAAGATGGATCAATTATTTGAATCCACCGTATCAATAGTCTAAAGAAGATAAATCATAGGATTATATCTATTAAAACAAAGTGAAATTTGATAAAATCCAAAATCCATGTATGATAATAGGAATAGAAGGTAACCATTAACATCTCAACTTAATAAAAAGCATCTCCAAAAAACTTACAGCTATTGTATGTTGTGCTAAAAAAACTGAATGCTTTCCTCCAAATACCAAGAATAAGACAAGCACGTCTACATGCACTTCTGCTATTCAACATAGTACTGGAACTTCCAACAACTATAATCAGGCAAGATGAAGAAGTAAAAGATATACAGGTTAGAAAGAAAAAATAAATAAATCTATTGCTATTGGCAGATGATGTTGATTGTCTACATAGAAAATTTCAAGGAATCTAGCCAAAACTTCATAGGACCAATACATGACTTCAGCAAGGTTGCAGGATACAAAATCAACACACAAAAACCAATCACAGTTCTATATACTAGCAATAAACCTGTGGAAAACAAAATAAAAAACCCAATATCATTTACAGTTGTTCCACTGATAATGAAATACTCAGGAATAAGTTTAACAGAACATGTACAGGATCTTTGTGCTCAAAATTGCAAAATTCTGATGAGGCAAATCATACAAGATCCAAATAAACGGAAGGACATATCATATTCATGGATTGGAAGGTTCAACATAGTAAAGATGTTGCTTCTCCCTAAATTATTTTGTAAATTTAATGAAAGTCCTACCAAAATCCCAGTGTGTTTTTTAAAATAGATACAGACAAGCTTTTTCAAAAATGTGTATGGAAAGGCACAGGTTTTAGAACAGTTAAAGAAATCTTGAAAAAGAAAAATAAATGGGAGAAATTATCAGATATCAAGCTTCACTCCATATAGCTACAATAAATCAAGCCTGTGTGATACTGGCATAGGTACAGACACCTAATGAAGACAATAGAGAAGCTAGAAATGATTCCACAAAAATATGCCTAACTGCTGGTTTTTAAGAAAGGTGCAAGAGTAATTCAATAGCAGAAAGATAGCCTTTCAACAAATGGTGCTGGAGGAATTTGGCATCCAAAGGAAAAATAAATTGACTAAAACCTCCGTAGCTACATTAAAAATAACTCAAAATTGATTTTCATTTAGGAAAAAAAATAAGAGAAAATCTTTAGGATCTGGGGTGAGGCAAAAAGTTCTTAGATTGACCCCTAAAGCATGATCCATAAAATGAGAAATTGATAAACTGGACTTAATTAAAATTAAACATCTTTGCTCTGTGAAAGACCCTGTTAAGAGGATGAAAAGGCAAGTGACAGATTGGGAGAAAACATTTGCAAACTACATAATCAACAACCATAGGTTTTAACTGGTATGACAGGTGTTACGGAGAAAAAAAAGTACTATGATGAATTCCTGGTCTTTCCAACAACCAGTTCACCACACTTGGTTAAAACTTTATTTCATGAAAATTAGCCCCACATATGACACCTGATATCTGAAAATCTGAGAAAGAAAATAAAAGATGTTTTACTGAAAGCCTAGGTGAAGGTAGAAGAATGTACTATTCATTATGGTCCGAAAGAAAATGTTTTAATGCTGGTGAAGATGCACTTGCTGATAAAAAAAAAAAAAAATACGTCATTCTAACTACAGAGAAAGTAACTAATAAGAATCTGTTTGGAGAGAAAGCATGAATTAGAATAAAGGAAAAAAATTCATGTTTTAGGTTTCTGTACTGTTTTTCACTAAATTATGCTTTCACAACCTTTTCATCCTAACTATGAGAACCGCTGGTATCTTTAAGACTAGTTTCATAACTCCCATACCTTTATTTCTAAGCAGACGTGTTGTAAGTTTTTTTTTTTACTGAAGCTTCTTTTAGGTTGGTGCAAAGGTAATGGCGGTAATTACTATTGAAAGTAATGGCAAAAACCACCATTACCTTTGCACCAACATAATACCTTACAAGAACCTAAATGCTCAAGATTCTGAGGAAATAATTAAGGTCCTATGCCCGTTTCACTAATTACAGCAAATTATCTCAACGACAACAAAAAAAAAGCTATGGCTTTGCAAATGAAGGTGGGTCAAACGTTTGGCTTCTAGTAATAAACTACTCAAGGACAATGTGCTATATATTAGTGATACAAAGAATGAACTTCTCACATGCATGATTGCCAGGGTGCCACCATTCAAGAACAGATTTGTTTATCTAAAATAATGATTATAATTTCAAAAGAGAGGCTGATTTTTCTCCTACCTCATGCCAAAGGATGCCAAATTTAACACATTCAAAATCCTAGTTTTCTAATTTGGATTTCCTATTGCATATGATTCCTCCAATCATATTGAGTGGATCATTCTGGACACCATAGTGTCTCTTTCTGCCAATCTTGATTTCAATTATTTCCACATTGAACAAAGTCAATTGCATGCTTCTAAGTCAGTTACTGGAAGAGGGAGAAGTCGGTCATACCATTCAAGTGTCTAAAGCCAGCCGCATGTTTAGAAAGCGTTAATGAGCCCATTTATTTGTGCAAGGTCTCACAATTTCATTTATTTTTCACTCCCTCTTGTAGTTTCATCAGTTTGAAAAGGACAGTACTGAGCCAAAGGAGATACTACCTGCTGTGAACGTACAGAAAAGAGTCCATAATAAAACCCACTATATAAACTGAAGCAATTGTGAAGCCAAGTCAGATAGGCTGCTACTTTGCCATGTCTAAAGAGTAAATTCTCACCAGCCAATCATGGTTTCTTTCATCATAATTCACATGTTAGTAAAAATTGACTAAAAGTACATTTTATTCCCGCAGTTCCTTATTTCCAACTTATTCGGACTGTGCATTTAGCTATGAATACTTCTGGGAATGTCCAGACTGAATAGTGAGACCAAAGTTAAGTGTGTCTTGTCATAGCTCCACATTAACTCTTCCCTCCTAAACTGCTGCTCCTGAGGCCAGTTAGAAGCGCTCTGATTTTCCCAACCTGTTAGGTCAATTGCAGTGGATCAAATTGAGTCAAGAACTACAATATTCTTTGTTGTCAATATTCACTTCCGCATTATCCTTTTGAAAAGACATTTGTCTAATTCTGAGGCACTGAATATGCACAGATTAAATGAGAGAAATTGGCCAAAGAAAAATAGGATTATTATCATGAATAGTTCATTCTTATCAATGATTGCTGATTATACGTGGCATGTTTGCCTTTGTTAACATGTCTACCACAATAGATTAAAGAACACATATACACACACATTCACAAAATGGGATTAGGGCTGTGGGAGGGCAGGGAGAAAGTAAGTGTTCATTTTCCCTGCTTTAAAGAGCACACTCAGACAAGTATATATTCTGAAAAAGGGTTTCAAGCATGAAGAAGAAGAGGAGGAGAAGGAGGAAGAAGAAAAGAAGAAAAGGAAGAAGAAAGAAGAAGAAGAGGAGGAGGAGGAGGAGAAAGAGAAGAAGAAGAAGGAGGAGGAGGAGGAAGAGGAGGAGGAGGAGGAAGAGGAGGAGGAGGAGGAGGAGAAAAAGAAGAAGAAGAAGAAGAGAAGAAGAAGAAGAAGAGGAAGAAGAAGAGGAAGAGGAAGAAGAAGAAGAAGAAGAAGAAGAAGAAGAAGAAGAAGAAGAACTTTTGAAAATGACTTCATTGGTGGCTGCCAAAAAATTGATCATTTGACTTTTGAAATGGTCTATGTTACTCAGTGGAAAAAAATGGCAAACCTGTTTGAATAATAATACAATCCAATTGCCCTCTTATGTTTTCTTACTGCACTGTTAAATTGCACAAATACAGAGGATAAATGGATTGTGATGAATATATAAGACCAAATAATATGTTGAGAATGTAAAATGTCCTGAAAACACAAGCTGCAATCTGATGTTGTTGATCTAATCCACACACACTTCGTAATTGGAAACATATCTCACACACCAATGTATTGGAGTAGATCAGGAAACAGATATTTGTAAATTTTCCTCAAACCTCAATTTGGATCATTCACATGTGACAACTTCATTTTTATTGCCTCGTCCACTTAAAAAAAAGAAAAATTTAAAAGATAGCATTAAGAAAAACTCAGAATGTTTTGGGCCCTTCCAAATAAACAGATTTTTGGTCTTCATTCATGACAGGAAACAATGCAGCAAAGATTCGAACCTGCTGGAAACGTTTTAAGCCCGTCTTGTCTCTCTGTCCCCCAGATCTTTTCAGCACACCCTCCTCCCTTTTTTCTTAGCGTCAAACTGGTTCTCTACTTCCTTTACATCAGTGGGAACACTTCCCTTCTGGGTGTCAGAATCTCTCAGAGGGGTCAGGGGCTGCCCTGCAGAGGAAATGACCAGCTGTGAAATGTAAAAGAACAATTCCTTCCACATGTTCCTTTGCTCCCAGAGCAGGCAGGAGTTGTCAGCTAGCATCACTTTGGAACCAGGCAGCCCTCTGCATCGTAGTCCTGTCAAAACTAATTTACAATTAAAGACCTGCATGACTGTTTAAAGCTTTTTGAATTCCAGCAGTTTTCAGAAATGACTTTGAGATTGAAGTGGATCAAACAAAAAACCATTCTTGTAATGAGCTGTGAAGGATAGTGAAGAACCTCACAAAATAAGCCAAAGATTAAAACAAATTATAATAATGTTTTAAAAGAAATCTGTTAATGGTGCAAATACTCACTACACCTCCAATTAACGTTTGTGTGAAATTTTCCCAGTTAGGCCGGGTGGGTGCAGTGGCTCACGCCTGTAATCCCAGCACTTTGGGGGGCCGAGGCGGGCGGATCAAGAGGTCAAGAGATCGACACCATCTTGGCCAACATGGTAAAACCCTGTCTCTACTGAAAATACAAAAATTAGCTGGACGTGGTGGCGTGTGCCTGTAGTCCCAGCTACTCGGAGGCTGAGGCAGGAGAATCACTTGAACCCGGGAGGCAGAGGTTGCAATGAGTTGAGATCGCGCCACTGCACTCCAGCGTAGCAACAGAGTAAGACTCCGTCTCAAAAACAAAAAAAATTTTCCCAGCTAAGCCCCAGTTTAGGAAGTTTAATGTTGCAGCTATTGGAAGTCATATTCAGTTTGCAAATGAAGTTACAAGGTTACAACTTCACAGCCAAGAAGGAGGGAAGGGAAGGTAAGGGGAGGGGAGGGGAGGAGGGAGGGAAGGAGGGGGAAGGGAGGGAGGGAGGATGGAAGAAAGGAAGGAAGGAAGGAAGGATTTACCTTGAGCAATGGAAGCTTTAAAAAAGATTTAAATTGCTTTAAAATATTTTGAGCATTTCTGTGAATTAAAATATTTTGATGCATTTCCATATCTTAAATAAAGGCATTTAAAAATTGCAGGTAATTAGCTTTTTATGCAGATTAATCACTTTGAAACATACTGTGGTTCCCCGAGGCTCAATTTTACACTGAGATAAAGGACTTAGATCCACCTATGCTACTTGAAAACGAAGACATTTAAGATAAAAAATGCCACAGTTAAAGTCTAAAAATTGCCTCAACATTTCACCAAATGGCAATTCTGTAATGTCAATTTCACATTCTTAAAAGCTTGGATATATTTTATAGAAGTACTCATTCCTTAAGAGCTATCTGAAAATAATTAGAGATACACACGATAGAGAATTATTTGAGACAGCTTCTCCACAAACTCAGCTCCAGCTGTCAAAAGCAAAGTCATATGTGCTGTTTTCAAATGCCAGATTAATGATTCTTCCACAGAAACAGGGAAACAATTGACTGGCAAATTATTAACTGAAAATATGTATCTCTGGTTTGGGATAATTAATCGTGTCTGAGAACAACTTGCTTCCCTTATCTTATACATGTGGGAATGGTGGCCTCAGCCCTTCAGGGAACATGATATGGAGACTTGGCTAAAACTGACCACAGATACAGAACCATTCAAAGTCACACAGTAGGTCTCTTACTGTCTGAGCATACCAGCTAAGCTCTGCTGTCCAATTTGTCTATGGCTTCCTGTTCCTGAGCTTCAGTATGGAGAGACTTCAGCTACTTCCATGTGTGCCTCTATGGCTCCCACTGCAGCTATAATTAATTTGTCATCTTTTCATTCTTCCTCTACCTTATGGCTTACAGATATACTGGCTTATGTCTATCATATCTATAACAGTATATATTAGGCAGAGCCCTCTTGCCAGGTCACCAAATAAGTCACTGACATTGAACCACTGGTATATGGCCAGTTGATTTTTGACAAAACTGCAAAGGCAATTCAACGATAAATGAAGAGTGTTTTCAACAAATGTTGTTGGAACAATTAGACATTCATATGTGAAAATAAATTAAAAACCTTCAAACTTAACTTCACCCTTTACTCAAAAACTAACTCCAAATGAATCATTGGATTAAATGTAGAGTGCAAAACTATAGAACTTTCCAAATAAAACGTAAGAGAAAATCTTGTGAACTGGAGTGTAGGCAAAGGGTTCAAGGACATGACCTCAAAAGTACAATCCATTTAAAAAATTATGAATTGAACTTCATCAAAATTCAAAACATTTGCTATGTGAAAGACAATATTAAGAAAATAAAAAGATAAACTTCAGACAGAAAGCATTTGCAAAAAAGTATCTGTATCCAGAATGGATAAGAACTCTCAAAATTCAACAATGAAAAACAAATAAATAAACCATTCAATTAAAATAATGGGCATAAGACTTGAACCGATACTTTACTAAAGAGGATATATGGCAAATAAGTACATTAGTCATTAAAGAAATCTAAATTGAAATCATGAGATGCCACTACACACAAATTAGGACTTTTAAAAGACTGACAATACTAAGTGCTGATAAGGATGCAGAGCAACTGAAACTCCCATCTGCTGGTGAAAATGTAAAATGATACAGTCACTTTGTAAAACAGGCAGTTTCTAAAAAGTTAAATATACACATACAATACAATCCAGCAATCACACTCGTAGGTATGTATTCTGAATAAGTAAATACTATATTCACACAAAAACTTGCCTATGCGCATGTATAGCAACTCTTCATAATTGCCAAAAATTGAAGCAATGTAAATGTCCTTGAGTTAAGGAACAGATAAACTGTGGTACATCCATATAAAGGGGTACCACTCAACAATGACGGGGTACGAACTGTTGATATGCACAATTACTTGTATGACTCTCAGTGGTACTATGTTGAGTGAAAGAAGCCAATCTCAACCAGTATGCATACAGGTTGCATACTGTATGACAATTTAAAAAGTCAAAACTGTAATGACAACTATGCCAATTTTGAAGATAAAACTACGGTGATGACAAACAGATCAGTGAGTGCCAGGGATTAGGATGGGTGGAGGGAAGGAGGTGCCTGTAAAACACAGCACACAGTTTTTTTGAAGGGTTGGGGAGTGGCAATGAAATGTTTCTTTATTCTTACTGTGGTGGTGATTACGCAAATCTGTATTTGTACGCAGAACTGAATACTCTTTAAAAAAGTCAATTTTACTGTATTTTAATTTAAAAAATGCAATAAATAAAATGCCTACTTGACTGCTTTCCATAGAAAAGAGTTCTGATCCTACTTGGTATTCAGAGCTATATTCATTTATTCATTCTGCAAATGTTTACTGAGAAGCTATGATTTGGGACATCATACATTTATGTATCTTGTAGAACCTGGGATACATAAATAAGCCAAACAAAGACTACTGTCCTGCAATTGTAATCTCTCTAAGAATAATTTTTTAAGACTTAAACCAGTAAGTGGAAGTGGGAATAGATAGAGCTGGTGCCTTCAGAAGCAGCTCTAGGCAACTGTCTTTTCATTTTTATCCTGGTAATCTGAAGCAAAGTGAGGTTCACAGACCAGTGCCATAGGCATCACATGGGACCTACAGAATTAATGCCCACCTCAAACTTGATGAATTAGAATTTTCCATTTAGCAAGATCTCTGGGTGATTTCTATGCACATCAGGTCTGATTAGTGCTGCAACAGTTTATCTTACTGATGTAACCACTCTCTTCCCTCTTGAGACTTAAACCTCCACAATGTCTGACCTCCTAGTTCTGCTTTTTCAGAGTGTTCTTTTGCAATTTCCTGCATCTTTTCTTTTACCTGTCCCTTCAATTAAGAATGTCCTACTCTTAGGTCTACTCTTTTCTTCCTTGGTAAACTCATTCATTCCTGTGGCTTTAGCCTGAATATTAGGATGGCACCCATATGTTACTTCTGAGCTTTAAATTCATCTTTTCAACTCCAAGCAAGTCATTGTCTTCTTAATTTCCCCTAACATCTTAAATTCAGTTTGTCCAAAAGTAACTGGTTAACTTTTATCTGATACCTGCTCCTTTGGGTTTCTTATCTCCAATAAGGGCAACGCTATTTTCCTGGAAACCTGGGATACAAATAGTCTTGCCTACAAGCTTCACATCTTTGCTTATGACACAGCTCTTCACTTTCCAAGTCCTGTTAATGCAATTTTATCACGTCTCTAGAGTGCATCCCACAGCAGTGTTCTACCTCAGGTCCTTACCATCTCTTCTCCAAGCTAATGTAATGTCCTTCTTACTGGATTTTGTGCCCTAAAATGATCCTTGCCCAAATCCATCCCAATTTGTATACTGGAACCCAGTGGTTCCTTATAGTTCCTCAAATACACCTTATACTATGTGACTTCTTAACTTAGCTGGTGGTTTTCCTTTTACCCCCAGATAATTCCCGACTATGCTTGCCTTTTGAACTCTAAATTATCCTTCTAGCCCCAGAACAAGATTGTGAAACTAACACATATGTCCCCAGATCACATCAGTACAGGATTAAAAACGGGGTCATATTAAAAGTTCAGACCAATTTCAATTGACTTCAAAAGCCCAGTCATTTATTTCCAGGAGTCCACCTGCATGCTCACATGAGCCCATGAACCACTAATTTCCATCCATATATGCTTCCCTGCAGTGGCTCCATAACACCCTGAATTACAACGTTGCCACACACAGAACACAGTAGAGCCGTTCCCTCTTATTCATGGTGGATAAGTTCCAGGATCCCCATTGGATATCTGAAACTTCACATAGTACCAAACTCTGTCTACACTAAACTTTTTCCTATCCATACATACCCATGATAATGTTTAATTTATAAATTAGTCACAGTAAGAAATTAACAACCATAACTAATAATAAAATACAACAATTTTAACAGTATGTTGTAATAAAAGTTATGTGAATATGGTCTCTTTCTCAAAATATCTTACTGTACTATACTATTTTTGGACCACAGTTGACCACAGGTAACTGAAACTTCGGAAATCGAAAGCTTGGGTAAGGGAAGACCACTGTATTTGTATATAGCACGCCTAACTGTCTCAGAGGAGAGTATATACTATAATATACAGTTCTGTGTCTGACAGAATTTCAATGAAATGGTTCTCTTTTAGCAGTTTGGGGAGTGTTTCCAAGCACTCCTCCCTCTCCCTGGGAATTCCACTGTGAGATGACTGGGCTAAAGAACAACGTGATTCCTGGACATCATACATTTCCCACAATCGCCCCTCTCACCTAACAACTGAATCTCTATTTAGCCAACTGCATCTGCTTCAATTCTTCTCCACGTTTGAATTCTCTCTGAGAAGGCTTGCAGGCCCCTTATGTAAATAGAGTGCTGGTGGGCCTTCTCGTCATCTCTTGGATATGTGGACACTTGCATATCTCACGGTGGAGCAGGCGTGGGCTCAAGTAAGCCCTCGAAGGCCAAGGACTGGGTGTTGCTTTGATTTAGAATTCCATAGCATTTGGTAGCATGATTCGTTCTCGTGATTGCACAACAAAATTCTGAATTGAATTCAGCATCACGAAACAGATATAGATCCTGCCAGAGAACACTGCTCATGCAATGCAGGCACATTCAAAACAAAATTATCAAGTGTGTGAAATATTAGCCTAGACTGACTCCTGAAAAGTAAAACAACCTAAAAGATGGCGATAATCCAAAAGTTATATCATGAGTCTCTTCTTCTGGCCTTTTATAAGTATTTTCTGGCCTCTGACATCCACCTATTTGCAAGGCTGACCACCACTTAAAACATCAACCACAGGATTAAGTCTGGAATCCTGCAGTATGTGTATGTGAGTGCACATGAGTGTGCTTGTGTGTGCACACACATATGTGCCTGCAAATGAGCACTAAAGTCACTGTTTCATGACCCTAGGACAGTAGTTGACTCAACAGATTACATATGGAGCCTATCAACGTGGACAGCTTGTGAAAGATCATAAACGTATTTTTCATACAGAAACGCTGCAGCCATAAACACACCACGTGGTCACCCCTTCCCTAAGCTTCACTCCTTTAATTGTAAATAGCCAGAAAGTCATCAAGCCAGAGTTTAATAAACTTTTAATTTGAAATGAATTACCACATGTTGTGTTTGTTTACCCATTATTAAATCTCTTAGCAACATATTAGTGGCAGAAACAGCACACTGTATCACAGCCCTGATATATTAGAAAACAAACCCATGGGGGACATCAACTGCTAATAATATGCTTCCAAGAAAAATAAATAAATATAAGCAATAGTAAAGGCATGTATTTGAAGAGATTTTTGTGTTCCGTTTGTCTATAAATTTGTTTAGAATAAGAGCAGAAGATGCCTCTGCAGTCTCTGAATGTGAGGCTTGAATAAGTCTCCACGCTCAGAGCAGAGCAAATGATTAATCTTTTTTTTTCTAAAGCATTTTCCTAAACAGAAAACATTCTTCCTCTCGTGATATACAGTATTCTCGGATTGAACATGCTGGTATTCATGTTTTCTAGAGTGCTACCTGTCCTCCTTTTAGGGGAACTAGGGGCAGCATTCTAGAAGTCAAGTTTATAGCTCAGTGCAGTAGGTGTGGAAAATATAGCCTACATTACCCTGAGGAAAAACTAGAAAGCCAAAATGGTCTAGGAGTAATTGGCTGTCATCTTCTGCTCAGTATCCTAACACTAGGTTAAAACGTCAATAATACTGACAGTTTATTAGTTAAGTCAAACTCACTTTCCCAAAAGTTAAAAATTCTAAAGTAAGAATATTTAGCTCCATATTTAATCCAAAATCACTGGGAAAGAAAAAGAAAAAAAACCCTGCTTTGCAAATACATGTATTTTACAGTGTCTCATGTGGCGGCTTTACAGTTGACTTTTGAACTTGATATTTAAGCAAAAAAAAATCTGTGGTTTTCTGGGGTTTTATCTAATGAAATCATAATCATTCCTTTTGTATTTTGTGAATTATTAATTTTATCTTAGGAAGATTATCTTCAACCATCAGCAAGGGCTTCGTCCTTTCCTTCCCTTTCTGTGCCTTAGCTTCCCAGGTTACACAGATGATATGCTAATGTTAAAGTAATTTGTTTTCACAGAACAAGGGCATCGCAGGCCCTCAGGTTGGAAGGCCTGACTAATCTAATTCCACACACAGGAATGGTATAAAAGTGATTCTCCTGCAGAGACAACTGAATGAGAATTACCCACAGTGTCCACGAACATCCTCCACATAACTGCCCCACAAAGGAATTCGGAATGAGGCTAAATCTGACAGTGGCTGGTCTGTGCTTTGGGAACCCATCCCCCCTTTTATTGAGACAGGGTCTCACTTTGTCACCCCGACTGGAGTGCAGTGATGTCATCTCAGCTCACTGCAGCCTCGACTTCCTGGGTTCAGGCAATCCTCCTGACTCAGCCCAAGTAGCTGGGACTACAGGCGTGCACCACCAAACCTGGTAAATTTTTGTATTTTTTGTAGAGATGGGGCTTTGCCATGTTGCCCAGGCTGGTCTTGAACTCCTGGGCTCGAGTGATCTGCCCACCTCGGCCTCCCGAGGGGCCCCTTTTATGACACTCTCTGCTCTTTTTCAGACTTCCAGGGCCTTAGGCTTATTTTATGCTCCACCTCTTACCTTCCTTTTATCCACACTAAGTAGACTGACACACTCATTGATACGTACCTTGGATATTTGTATTTAAAATTTAAAAATTAAAGCCTTGAACCTATTAAATTTCAACATAAAAAATGCTTAAGGCCGGGCGCAGTGGCTCACGCCTGTAATCCCAGCAATTTGGGAGGCCAAGGCGGGCGGATCACCTGGGGTCAGGAGTTCAAGACCAGCCTGACCAACATGGAGAAACCCCATCTGTACTAAAAATACAAAATTAGCTGGGTATGGTGGTGCACACCTATAATCCCAGCTACTCAGGAGGCTGAGGCAGGAGAATCGCTTAAACCCAGGAGCTGGAGGTTGCAGTGAGCCGAGATTGCGCCATTGCACTCCAGCCTAGGCAACAAGAGCGAAACTCTGTCTCAAAAAGATAAAAAATAAATGCTTAAAGCCAGCTTCAAGTTGTGTATTTTGAGGATCACTAGCTCCACACTTTACCCACCAAAACCAGACCATGTTGTCAGTTATTTCTTACCTTCTCTGGCCGCAAATCCTAGTTCTAACATGTGGGAAACAATACACTTTGGTCAAGTTGCTTTATAACTGTGATGCTTGTTACATAGCTTCAGCATATATTTGATTTCTAATTTATCTTTAGAAATATTTGTTTAAAGCCAGTGACATAATTTGATATATATGTATTCTGTGTATAAAACTTCAACATATCTCCAGGTAGGCATCACTCTATAAACTGATATTTAGTTGTCTGGAGGTTGAGGTGGTGGTACCTCAGTTGTGATATGGTATTGGCTTACTCACAAGAAAGCAGGTCAGGTGTGAATACGGAAGCCCAGGCCTCATAGTAGACCTGCCCTTAGGAAAGCAGGGGTTACCAATACTTGAGCCTGGCAGAGAGTTGTACTTGGTCCAAGAAGGCATAATCTCTAAGGGACTTGGAGAACCCTAGTAACAACTTGAGAAATATTTATCACTCTCTATGAAGCTGATAGGCAGAAGAAGACAGGAAGACAGATGCCACCTGGGAGGTAGAATCGTGTAGGCATTGTGTCTGGCCATTATGACTCCATGTAGGGATCCGTCATTCTTCTCCTGAAACATTGCCGTTTCCCTGATCTGTGTTCTCAACTCAACACGCCTATCCCTCTACACGTTCCTTCTGGTTAAACTCAACCACTTGGAGGGGCGCGGTGGCTCACGCCTGTAATCCCAGCACTTTGGGAGGCCGAGGCGGGCAGATCACAAGGTCAGGAGATCGAGACCATCCTGGCTAACATGGTGAAACCCCATCTCTACTAAAAATACAAAAACAAAATTAGCCGGGTGTGGTGGTGGGCGCCTGTAGTCCCAGCTACTCGGGAGGCTGAGGCAGGAGAATGGCATGAACCCAGGAGGCGAAGCTTGCAGTGAGCGGAGATCACGCCACTAGACTCCAGCTAGGCGACAGAGCAAGACTCCGTCTCAAAAAAAAAAAACAAAAACAACAAAAATACTCAACCACTTAGCAGTTTCAGCTACAGTCTCTGTGTTCACATGGGCCTAAGGAACATGTACTCCCTCCCCCTTCTCCATCTCCCTCCTGAGCTTCACAACCATTTCCCAATGATCTCTT
This sequence comes from Homo sapiens, assembly GCF_000001405.40. Classification (NCBI taxonomy): domain Eukaryota; kingdom Metazoa; phylum Chordata; class Mammalia; order Primates; family Hominidae; genus Homo; species Homo sapiens. The sequence goes on from NC_000006.12 coordinate 9,805,286, forward strand.
GAACTTTTTTTTTTCTTTTTTTTTTTTTGAGATGGAGTCTCACTCTATCACCCAGGCTGCAGTGCAGTGTTGCAATCTCAGCTCACTGCAACCTCCACCTCCCGGGTTCAAGTGATTCTCGTGCCTCAGTCTCCTGAGTAGCTGGGATGACAGTCACCTGCCACCACGCCTGGCTCATTTTTTTGTATTTTTAGTAGAGATGGGGTTTCATCATGTTGCCCAGGCTGGTCTGAAACTCCTGAGCTCAAGTGATCCACCAGCCTCGGCCTCCCAAAGTGATGGAATTACAGGTGTGAGTCACCACACCCAGCCCCCTTCACCATTTTTATTTGGATATAATATAGAAATATCAAACCCTGTAGATCCAAAATCAAGCTCCTGGTTTTCCTCTACTCTTATTCCTCTTCCTGTGATTCCTATTATCTGCTGGTTGACATCCATATCTATTGTGTTCAAAGTTTAGGAATCAACTTTGTTATCCTCCACCATCCATATTCAATCAATCAACAACATCATTTTTATGGCCATTCTATTGCACCTCTTTAACACTTTATGAATGTTCATTCTCTTCTCTAACTTTATTCTCTCTGCCCTAATTGAGGCCCTCATCTTTTGCTTGGACTACTCTAAGCTTTTCCGACCTGTTCTGGTTTTAGACATGCTCTGCTCAAATAAATCCTCCTAAAATGTATCAGTGATCTATCTAAAGTTGAAATGGAAATCCATAACGCCCCTTTATAATGGCTACCCACTTAACACTGATTTCTGATCTGCCACAAGAGACATAAAAAGGCGGTGGAAAAATGGTAAGGAAAAGGTTATTACTACCCTAGAATCTTACACATGGCTAAATGATCTATCAAAACGAGGGAAAATAATAAAGACTCTTTCAGACATACAATGACTAAGAGAGATCCAAACTCTAAACGAATTACTAGAGACTTACTTCAGCAAGAAGAAAAATGGAGCCAGAGTGAAGACATGTTATCTTAAAACTACAATGAAGCACCAACGTGTCATTAAATTAATTTTCTATTAAGAGTAAAAAATACTGACTGTTGTGTTTAATAAAAAAGTGGAACTGAAACCACAGCCGCCAACAGCAGTAGGAAGAGGAGGTGTTTTCAATGGGCAAGACGTGCTAAAAGCCCTTGCCACACCCGGGAAAAGAATGGAACTAAGGACGGAGCTTAGAATTTTAGAGATGGTTTATAGTTAAATATGTAAATCAGAAATGGAGGATAACATTTAAAGTAATGGATAAAACCTGTAGATTATACAGACAGAAGGGAATAAGCAAATTAATTTTTTTAAAAAGTAAAAATAGGATGGTAAATTTAAAGTACAAAATTAGATGCCATCAAGTACAAATATAACAATAATAAGAGTAATTTCCAAAACTTTAAACTTACCTATTTAAATGGCACATGTTATCTACTTGTCTTTTCTTCTATTTTTAATTACTATATGTGAGTTTTACATATTTTGGAAGTACATGTATATTTTGATACCTCTCTACAATGGCGAATGATCAAATTGGGGTACTAAGGATATCCATCAACTCAACCATTTATCTTTTCTCTGTGTTATGAATATTACAAATCTGATATTCTAGCTATTTTGAAACATACAATAAATTATTGTTAACTATAATTTTCCTGCTGTACTATCAAATACTAATATTTATTCCTTCTATCTAAAACTGTATTTTTGTACCCCTTAACTTGTCTTGAATAGAAAATAAAATCCAGATTTATGCTACTAACTGATACATGCCCAAACTGTACTACAGATAAATGTTACGATTTAAAAATAACGTGTGGCATAATAATGTGTGCCATGAAAATACTAAAAAATAATAATTCAGGTGGGTAGTATTCATATCAGATGAAATAGAACATAAATTCAAAAGTATTAATAGACAAACAGTAGTAGAAAAGAATTATAACATCCTCCAAACTATAACAATTATAAACTTGTATGCACTTAACAGATTTAAAATATATAAAGCATTATCTGACAAAATTACAGGAAGGAATGGATAGATCCATTCATAATTTTCTCTAATCTACAATGTGTAGATTTTCTATGATCTAATAAAAGTTAAGATACATAAAAAAGTTAAGAGGATAAATACATAGAAAATAAACAATCAGTGGAGAACTTGAATGAAGGTAAAAGTCAGTTGTATACTGAAAAAAATAAATGAAAAGATTAAAAGCAAGACTAATAACGAAAAAAAATGATGGCTAGTATTAATAATAAGCATTAGGAATGACAAGAAAAATATATAATACAATGATAGAGTTAGTGGTATTTCAAAATTATAGTAATAGTTTTGTGTATTTTCTTATAGATACATAAAAGTATCGACTAATACACAAAAAACATCGGTTTCCTTCGGAGAGAAGAACTAGGTTGATGGGGAGCAGCAGGGGAAGGCAGGTTTTCTTTTGAACAATGTGGATATATCACCTACTCAATAAAACTTTAACAAAATGAAATAAATTTAAAATTTAAAAGATAATGTACTACGACCAAGTTAACCCAATTAGTTTTTAATGAATTAAACATAGAATGATGAAATAATAAGTAACAATCAAAAATTGAACCAGAAAATAAATGTCCCCTACCACTCACCTAAAAACAACAACAACAACAACAACAAAGCCCCAGAACTCTTACAGCTCCATGAGGCAAAAAAATGGCCCAAAGAAAAAGTGGATAAAGTATAGGAACAGGCAATTCCCACAGGATAATACCCAAATGGTCAACAGAAATACAGACAGTTTCAAAAATGCTCTAATATACTTGTATCCAGAAAAATCCTAGTTAAAATAAAGAGATATTATTTCATGGCAATTGAATTGGCAAAACTAATCTGACATTAACAAGGGTTGATAGAATGTGGGCCAAAGCAATTCTCTTACACAACAGTTAGGAGGGTAAATTGACATACTACTAGGGGTGGCAGTGTCACTAGTCTCTACAGTTAGAAAGTGTGTGCATGTGATTCAGCCATTCCTTTTGGGGTTGTGTAGACTCTAGTGAAATTCACACCCATGTGCACAAGCAGAGCATGTTCAAGACTGGTCATTGTGGCTTTGTTTGCAGTAGAGTATAACTAGTAACAACAACAATAACAAACATAAATAAATTTTGTTATAATCATGCAAAGGAATCCAATATAACAACAAAATTAGTAAATTAGAAATAGATGACAGACAGATATAGTTAGATAAATATCAAAGACAACACTGAGAGAAAATAAAAGTTACAGAAGCAGATGTGAAGTATGATATATTTATACAAAGTTTAAAAACATAGAAAAGATATACAATGTTAGTGATTCCATATATATGTAGAAAATGTTTTAAAATATACATGGAAATGATCAATAACAAATCTGAGAAGGCTGGGAATGGAATTAGGGAGCAGTTCACAGAGAGCATTAATCACGGGTAAATGTTATTTTTTGAAAGAAAAGATGGGAAGTAATACGGCAAAATAGTAAAAATCAGCAAAGCTGGGTACTGGGTACTGGTGTTATGTTATTTTCTGTATAAGATGTTTAAAATATTTAATAATTTCAAAAATAAAAGTAAATTACTTATTACAAGGCTTCTTATCAGTTGTAGCATTAGTACAATGCTGGTAGTACTATTACATGCTACCGTTATTATAATTAATACCAATCCATCAACTGCTATTTTAACTGATACGAATATTTACTGCTAGAGGATACACTCTGTGAAAGAAGCTTGTGAATCTTTTGGTAAATGCAACAATCCTTTTATAAGAAGGATAATAATCTCTAATAGCATATATATTCTGTAAGTTGGAATTTTTGTAGATTGAATATTTCCAAAAACTTTATTTGCTTATTTATTGCCTGATTAAACCAGTCTTTGAAAACAAAGGCCAATAAAATAAATTATATTAATTGACAACATTTTTCTGAAAATATTTTATCTTTCATAGCCAGTTTTTGGTTACCAGTCTTGTGAGCATGCAAGAAAATTTGAAATCTAAAAATAAGAACCAACAGAAGTCAAATGATGCCCCCTTAACAACAACAACAACAAAACTTTCAAAGCAATAAGGTCATGGAGAAAGACTTGTTTCAATGATGTTATTTTATATTTACAAATGTAATAGACAATGTGATATAAAAACTAATATTCTAACATATTTTAAAAGAATGATAGTTTCTTATATTCATAATATAATTTATGTAGCACAACTTGGAATACTAGCAATAGAATGCTGGGAAAAAAATAAGTCAACCAACCCTGAGAAGAGTGTGCTGCGGATTTAACGTCTGCCTCATCCATTGGTGCACGAGGATTCTTCTGTGTTTCCTTCTCTGAAAGGCCAGCTGTATTATCCACTCCTGATTCTGCTTTCTCTCCTTTAGCCATTAGACAAACTGGAAATTCAGGGGAAAGTCGAGTATAGCTTTCATGATTTTTTTGACCATCAAAATGCAAAGGAAGTTTAATGACCTATTAGGAGATCAATCTGTTATCTAAATTGTTGAAACTATTACATAGTTTTCCTCTTAAAAAAAGAGACAATTTGAAAAAGCTAAAATATCAATAATAAATTCAGTTTTCCAAACATTATATACTTTTGTTTGGTTGCATTACAAAGAATGCAGGTTTTTTGTATTAACAAATTACACAATTGCTTCAGATAGTGCTATTTGCTCTCTATATATTAGTTTCTTCTTTGTTTCAATTTATAATTTTTAAAATTTATTCTTCCATATAACACTATCTAACATTCATACTAGGAGGAAATTAGCAAATATTCATTCACTATTTACTATCTCCAAGAAATATTATTTTAAGTTCAAAAGAAATGACAAGATGGTAGATCTAGCAGTGAATGAGTGCTCATTATACAATTTTTTCAACTTTTCTCTATGTTTAAAATTTTAATAGTAAAAGTGCTTGGAGACAGTAATGACACAAGAAATGAAATATTCAGGAAAGTGAGGAATTGACAGACAAAGTTTCCTGGGAAAGAGTGACAGGCTGTCCTTCTGGCATCATTTTCCCTGTTGCATCCTTACACACATGCTGTGGGGGGCCTCAGAGCTGTTGGCCAACCTCCTCTGGGATGCTCAGGGTTATTAGTCCGAGTACTATCCCTAATGACACCGTGAGAGAATACGTGAGGTCATGGCTAAGCCACGTGCCCTGGCTCTGCCAGCCCCTCGTTGACAATGGCTGTTTCTCCACACTGACTGATCCAGGAGACAAATGTTCAGGATTCACCTGGATTGACTTGTTTCCTTTTTGTCTTCTAACAAGGCATTGCAAAAAAACACTTTTCTGTTCCGTCATCTGTCATCTGCATTACCTCTCTTTTGTCTTCCCAATTCCAACTTATTCTTTTTCCGAGTAAATACAGCATTAACTTGTTCAAAAATGTTTGCATCTGAGAAAACTTACATTGGGGGGGGAGGAGCCAAGATGGCCGAATAGGAACAGCTCCAGTCTACAGCTCCCAGCGTGAGCGATGCAGAAGACTGGTGATTTCTGCATTTCCATCTGAGGTACCGGGTTCATCTCACTAGGGAGTGCCAGACAGTGGGCCCAGGCCAGTGGGTGCGCACACTGTGCGCGAGCCGAAGCAGAGCGAGGCATTGCCTCACTTGGGAAGCGCAAGGGGTCAGGGAGTTCCCTTTCCCAGTCAAAGAAAGGGGTGACGGACGCACCTGGAAAATCGGGTCACTCCCACCGGAATACTGCGCTTTTCCGACGGGCTTAAAAAACGGCGCACCACGAGATTATATCCGGCCCCTGGCTCGCAGGGTCCTACGCCCACGGAGTCTCGCTGGTTGCTAGCACGGCAGTCTGAGATCAAACTGCAAGGCGGCAGCGAGGCTGGGGGAGGGGCGCCCGCCATTGCCCAGGCTTACTTAGGTAAACAAAGCAGCCGGGAAGCTCGAACTGGGTGGAGCCCACCACAGCTCAAGGAGGCCTGCCTGCCTCTGTAGGCTCCACCTCTGGGGCAGGGCACAGACAAACAAAAAGACAGCAGTAACCTCTGCAGACTTCAATGTCCCTGTCTGACAGCTTTGAAGAGAGCAGTGGTTCTCCCAGCACACAGCTGGAGATCTGAGAACCGGCAGACTGCCTCCTCAAGTGGGTCCCTGACCCCTGACCCCCGAGCAGCCTAACTGGGAGGCACCCCCCAGCAGGGGCACACAGACACCTCACACGGCAGGGTATTCCAACAGACCTGCAGCTGAGGGTCCTGTCTGTTAGAAGGAAAACTAACAAACAGAAAGGACATCCACACCAAAAACCTATCTGTACATCACCATCATCAAGACCAAAAGTAGATAAAACCACAAAGATGGGGAAAAAACAGAACAGAAAAACTGGAAACTCTAAAACGCAGAGCGCCTCTCCTCCTCCAAAGGAACGCAGTTCCTCACCAGCAATGGAACAAAGCTGGATGGAGAATGACTTTGACGAGCTGAGAGAAGAAGGCTTCAGACGATCAAATTACTCTGAGCTACGGGAGGACATTCAAACCAAAGGCAAAGAAGTTGAAAACTTTGAAAAAAATTTAGAAGAATGTATAACTAGAATAACCAATACAGAGAAGTGCTTAAAGGAGCTGATGGAGCTGAAAACCAAGGCTCGAGAACTACGTGAAGAATGCAGAAACCTCAGGAGCCGATGTGATCAACTGGAAGAAAGGGTATCAGCGATGGAAGATGAAATGAATGAAATGAAGCGAGAAGGGAAGTTTAGAGAAAAAAGAACAAAAAGAAATGAGCAAAGCCTCCAAGAAATATGGGACTATGTGAAAAGACCAAATCTACGTCTGATTGGTGTACCTGAAAGTGATGGGGAGAATGGAACCAAGTTGGAAAACACGCTGCAGGATATTATCCAGGAGAACTTCCCCAATCTAGCAAGGCAGGCCAACGTTCAGATTCAGGAAATACAGAGAACGCCACAAAGATACTCCTCGAGAAGAGCAATTCCAAGACACATAATTGTCAGATTCACCAAAGTTGAAATGAAGGAAAAAATGTTAAGGGCAGCCAGAGAGAAAGGTCGGGTTACCCTCAAAGGAAAGCCCATCAGACTAACAGCAGATTTCTCGGCAGAAACCCTACAAGCCAGAAGAGAGTGGGGGCCAATATTCACCATTCTTAAAGAAAAGAATTTTCAACCCAGAATTTCATATCCAGCCAAACTAAGCTTCATAAGTGAAGGAGAAATAAAATACTTTACAGACAAACAAATGCTAAGAGATTTTGTCACCACCAGGCCTGCCCTAAAAGAGCTCCTGAAGGAAGCACTAAACATGGAAAGGAACAACTGGTACCAGCCGCTGCAAAATCATGCCAAAATGGAAAGACAATCAAGACTAGGAAGAAACTGCATCAACTAACGAGCAAAATCACCAGCTAACATCATAATGACAGGATCAAATTCACACATAACAATATTAACTTTAAATGTCAATGGACTAAATGCTCCAATTAAAAGACACAGACTGGCAAGTTGGATAAAAAGTCAAGACCCATCAGTGTGCTGTATTCAGGAAACCCAGCTCATGTGCCAAGACACACATAGGCTCAAAATAAAAGGATGGAGGAAGATCTACCAAGCAAATGGAAAACAAAAAAAGGCAGGGGTTGCAATCCTAGTCTCTGATAAAACAGACTTTAAACCAACAAAGATCAAAAGAGACAAAGAAGGCCATTACATAATGGTAAAGGGATCAATTCAACAAGAAGAGCTAACTATCCTAAATATATATGCACCCAATACAGGAGCACCCAGATTCATAAAGCAAGTCCTGAGTGACCTACAAAGAGACTTAGACTCCCACACATTAATAATGGGAGACTTTAACACCCCACTGTCAACATTAGACAGATCAACGAGACAGAAAGTCAACAAGGATACCCAGGAATTGAACTCAGCTCTGCACCAAGCAGACCTAATAGACATCTACAGAACTCTCCACCCCAAATCAACAGAATATACATTTTTTTCAGCACCACACCACACCTATTCCAAAATTGACCACATAGTTGGAAGTAAAGCTCTCCTCAGCAAATGTAAAAGAACAGAAATTATAACAAACTATCTATCAGACCACAGTGCAATCAAACTAGAACTCAGGATTAAGAATCTCACTCAAAACCGCTCAACTACATGGAAACTGAACAACCTGCTCCTGAATGACTACTGGGTACATAACGAAATGAAGGCAGAAATAAAGATGTTCTTTGAAACCAACGAGAACAAAGACACAACATACCAGAGTCTCTGGGATGCATTCAAAGCAGTGTGTAGAGGGAAATTTATAGCACTAAATGCCCACAAGAGAAAGCAGGAAAGATCCAAAATTGACACCCTAACATCACAATTAATAGAAATAGAAAAGCAAGAGCAAACACATTCAAAAGCTAGCAGAAGGCAAGAAATAACTAAAATCAGAGCAGAACTGAAGGAAATACAGACACAAAGAACCCTTCAAAAAATTAATGAATCCAGGAGCTGGTTTTTTTTGAAAGGATCAACAAAATTGATAGACTGCTAGCAAGACTAATAAAGAAAAAAAGAGAGAAGAATCAGATAGATGCAATAAAAAATGATAAAGGGGATATCACCACCGATCCCACAGAAATACAAACTACCATCAGAGAATACTACAAACACCTCTACGCAAATAAACTAGAAAATCTAGAAGAAATGGATAAATTCCTTGACACATACACTCTCTCAAGACTAAACCAGGAAGAAGTTGAATCTCTGAAGAGACCAATAACAGGATCTGAAATTGTGGTAATAATCAATAGCTTACCAACCAAAAAGAGTCCAGGACCAGATGGATTCACAGCCGAATTCTACCAGAGTTACAAGGAGGAACTGGTACCATTCCTTCTGAAACTATTCCAATCAATAGAAAAAGAGGGAATCCTCCCTAACTCATTTTATGAGGCCAGCATCATTCTGATACCAAAGCCAGGCAGAGACACAATAAAAAAAGAGAATTTTAGACCAATATACTTGATGAATATTGATGCAAAAATCCTCAATAAAATACTAGCAAACCGAATCCAGCAGCACATCAAAAAGCTTATCCACCATGATCAAGTGGGCTTCATCCCTGGGATGCAAGGCTGGTTCAATATACGCAAATCAATAAATGTAATCCAGCATATAAACAGAGCCAAAGACAAAAACCACATGATTATCTCAATAGATGCAGAAAAAGCCTTTGACAAAATTCAACAACCCTTCATGCTAAAAACTCTCAATAAATTAGGTATTGATGGGACGTATTTCAAAATAATAAGAGCTATCTATGACAAACCCACAGCCAATATCATACTGAATGGGCAAAAACTGGAAGCATTCCCTTTGAAAACGGGCACAAGACAGGGATGCCCTCTCTCACCACTCCTATTCAACATAGTGTTGCAAGTTCTGGCCAGGGCAATCAGGCAGGAGAAGGAAATAAAGGGCATTCAATTAGGAAAAGAGGAAGTCAAATTGTCCCTGTTTGCAGACGACATGATTGTTTATCTAGAAAACCCCATTGTCTCAGCCCAAAATCTCCTTAAGCTGATAAGCAACTTCAGCAAAGTCGCAGGATACAAAATCAATGTACAAAAATCACAAGCATTCTTATACACCAACAACAGACAAACAGAGAGCCAAATCATGAGTGAACTCCCATTCACAATTGCTTCAAAGAGAATAAAATACCTAGGAATCCAACTTACAAGGGATGTGAAGGACCTCTTCAAGGAGAACTACAAACCACTGCTCAAGGAAATAAAAGAGGATACAAACAAATGGAAGAACATTCCATGCTCATGGGTAGGAAGAATCAATATCGTGAAAATGGCCGTACTGCCCAAAATAATTTATAGATTCAATGCCATCTTCATCAAGCTACCAATGACTTTCTTCACAGAATTGGAAAAAACTACTTTAAAGTTCATATGGAACCAAAAAAGAGCCCACATCGCCAAGTCAATCCTAAGCCAAAAGAACAAAGCTGGAGGCATCACACTACCTGACTTCAAACTATACTACAAGGCTACAGTAACCAAAACAGCATGGTACTGGTACCAAAACAGAGATATAGATCAATGGAACAGAACAGAGCCCTCAGAAACAACACCGCATATCTACAACTATCTGATCTTTGACAAAGTTGAGAAAAACAAGCAATGGGGAAAGGATTCCCTATTTAATAAATGGTGCTGGGAAAACTGGCTAGCCATATGTAGAAAGCTGAAACTGGATCCCTTCCTTACACCTTATACAAAAATCAATTCAAGATGGATTAAAGACTTAAACGTTAGACCTTATACCATAAAAACCCTAGAAGAAAACCTAGGCATTACCATTCAGGACATAGGCATGGGCAAGGACTTCATGTCCAAAACACCAAAAGCAATGGCAACAAAAGACAAAATTGACAAATGGGATCTCATTAAACTAAAGAGCTTCTGCACAGCAAAAGAAACTACCATCAGAGTGAACAGGCAACCTACAGAATGGGAGAAAATTTTCGCAACCTACTCATCTGACAAAGGGCTAATATCCAGAATCTACAATGAACTCAAACAAATTTACAAGAAAAAAACAACCCCATCAAAAAGTGGGCGAAGGATATGAACAGACACTTCTCAAAAGAAGACATTTATGCAGCCAAAAAACACGTGAAAAAATGCTCATCATCACTGGCCATCAGAGAAATGCAAATCAAAACCACAGTGAGATACCATCTCACACCAGTTAGAATGGCAATCATTAAAAAGTCAGGAAACAACAGGTGCTGGAGAGGATGTGGAGAAATAGGAACACTTTTACACTGTTGGTGGGACTGTAAACTAGTTCAACCATTGTGGAAGTCAGTGTGGCGATTCCTCAGGGATCTAGAACTAGAAATACCATTTGACCCAGCCATCCCATTACTGGGTATATACCCAAAGGACTATAAATCATGCTGCTATAAAGACCCATGCACACGTATGTTTATTGCGGCATTATTCACGATAGCAAAACTTGGAACCAACCCAAATGTCCAACAATGACAGACTGGATTAAGAAAATGTGGCACATATACACCATGGAATACTATGCAGCCACAAAAAATGATGAGTTCATGTCCTTTGTAGGGACATGGGTGAAATTGGAAATCATCATTCTCAGTAAACTATGGCAAGAACAAAAAACCAGACACCGCATATTCTCACTCATAGGTGGGAATTGAACAATGAGATCACATGGACACAGGAAGGGGAACATCACACTCTGGGGACTGTTGTGGGGTGTGGGGAGGGGGGAGGGATAGCACTGGGAGATATACCTAATGCTAGATGACGAGTTAGTGGGTGCAGCGCACCAGCATGGCACATGTATACATATGTAACTAACCTGCACAATGTGCACATGTACCCTAAAACTTAAAGTATAATAATAATAAAAAAAAGAAAACTTACATTGGAAAAATCCACATATTTTAGAATTTCACATAAAAGGAAACTGAGTTTTCCAGAACAGAAGCTTTTTGTTTTTGTCTTCATGGGCAAGAAGGATCTATATGCCTACTTATTCTGCCTACAATCAGAAAATCATGCATCTTGCATGTTACTATTCTAATTAATAAGACTCGCTTCCCCATGAAATTTTCAGAAGGAGAAAATTATTTTTATTGTCTATCAAATAAGAATGTTAGTGGACAATTACATCCATCTCTAATGGATAATGCCAGCTGGGCTCTGCAAATAAATTATAGTATTCCTTATTTTTTCTCTACAAAGTATTTTTAATAGAAAGTCAGAAAAAAACGAGGCAAATTTTAGTAATATGTTCAAATTCAAGTAGATTTTGGTCATCAAAATATTTTAATGCTGCTAAAAAATACCCACTTTTCTTGAGCTTGCAAGTTTTAAACACTACTTCTAATTTAACTTCAAATATAAACTGTCTTCATAATGAATAACAGTACTTCATAAATTATCTTTTATAAAACAAAGCTCGTTCTTACTTTCCATCCCATAATTTGTAGAACACTGAATTTTAGGAAACAGTTAGTGAAAAAGTCAGTTAATAATTATAGATGTCTTCCACATTAGCTAGACCAAGATTTACCTTTTTTTTTTTTTCGAGCCAGAGTTTTGCTCTTGTTGCCCAAGCTGGAGGAGTGCAATGGCGCGATATTGGCTCACCGCAACCTCCACCTCCCAGGTTCAAGCGATTCTCCTGCCTCAGCCTCCTGAGTAGCTGGGATTACAGGCACCTGCCACCACGCCCAGCTAATTATTGTATTTTTAGTAGAGACAAGGTTTCACCATGTTGGCCAGGCTGGTCTCGAACTTCTGACCTCAGGTGATCCACCCACCTCAGCCTCCCAAAGTGCTGAGATTACAGGCGTGAGCCACCACACCCAGCCCAAACTTTACTTTCTTATGGCTATATTTATTTTGACTCTTGGTATGGCATTCAGGTCACCAATTTTTAAAACATTTTCTTATGGATTTTCTACAGTTATCTTCAACCTTTAGATAAATTTTCAATATTTTTTACATTCATTTATAATAGTCTTCCTCTTTAAGCTTATTTATATCAGCGTTTCTGATTCTTAGAAGTTTTTAAAAAGTTCTGATGCCTGACACCCCACCACAAAACAACTAAATTAAAGTATCTGAGACTAGAACCCAGGCAACAGTATTTCTAAAACTTCCCACAGAATTCTACTGTGCAATCAGATTTATCTTAGGATGGCACTATTTCCAGAATGAATAGGCAGGTACATATTCACATAAACGTTATTTTATTAATAGCATACCTACACTGCCCCAACACGATATTTCAGCAAAACATTATAATGGAATTAAATAAGAAGAAAAAATGCCAGGTAATTCTACTCAAAGTAAATAGGAAACAGGGAGACTGTTACTGATTTTAAGGACGAAATTACATGTGCTTCCTGGGAACACCCAATTTAATAGTTCTATCAGTTAGGTAAGTAGATAGATAGGTAGACAGACAGACAGATACATTACATAGATATAAAGAAAACTTCAAATATGAAGGGGAAGAAGAACAATTTATGGCATTATATGACACAAACAACCTGGAAAAACATCATCGGGAAGAATAAATTTGGGTACAAAGAACGCACTACAAATGTGCTGGAATCCTTATCCTTTTTGCATCCCTAGAGGAGGCAATGCCCAACGCACAATAGAAGCTCAGTAAACATTTTTTTTTTTTTTTTTGAGATAGGATCTTGCTCTGTTGCTCAGGCTGGAGTGCAGTGGCGCGATCTCAGCTCACTGCAACCTCCACCTCCTGGGTTCAAGTGATTCTCCTGCCTCAGCCTTTCAAGTAGCTGAGATTACAGGTGCGTGCCACCAAGCCCGGCTAGTTTTTGTATTTTTTTAGTAGAGATGGATTTCACCATGTTGGCCAGGCTGGTCTTGAATTCCTGGCATCAAGTGATCCGCCTTGATAAGGAAACTTACCAGAGCTCCATCCTCATGTTGATGAGATGAAGCTACACACTCCACCCCAGCAGTGACAGATTGTGAACTGAGACTTGGGTGGCAGCTCTGGTCCATTCACAACATAGAAGATTTTATTAAGTGATCTTTAAATTTCCCACTAATTCTATAATTTTATTCCTTGTTTCTAAATATCTATTTAATCTGCATTATCAGAAATCAGCATTAAGATGTAATAACTTTTACCATTCTATGCTACTTTACTTATTAAATTTTCCAATGGCATGAAAGGAAGCTGAAGGCTAGAAAGAAGCAGCTTTAGAAAACATTTTAATTCCTTGCCACTTAAAAAATCATATTGCAAACCTGAAAATAGAGATTGCACAGCCAGTGGTCCAAGTCCAGGCAAATCAAATCTTCAATTTTCCTAAAGTTACTGAGTTTCTGGTCATAATGTCCTCATAGAAGGGGACACTTAAATTTTCCCTCCACTGTATCAAAGTTGTTATTACACAAAGGGAACACTGCTCAGCCCACAGCCCGGTCCAGGCAAGTGTATGTTCCACGAAGAAGAAAGAGTTCAAACAAGAAACCATGCCAGGGCTCACATTTTTCCTTTGAGGGAGCACCTATAAAAACATTAAGAAAAGAGAAGATTGGGACACTTGTGGTTTTAGAAACACGTTACATTCAGTGATGCTTATAGACAATTTAGAATTAAGTAAAACGTTGGTCTATACTCCTGTGGTTTGCCCTTGAAAACTCACTATTGGATGTATTTACATAAACAATCCTTCCAGCCCCAGGTAATTGAGCAACCATGAAAATGTGACCTACACAAATTTGACCCTGCTGGTTAAAGATTCTAAACTTTATACGTTTTAGAAATCAAGTTTGCAACATGTTCACTCTCATAGTAGTCTGTGTTTTCATTCCTCTTTGATCGAGCTGGCACCTCTACTGTATAACTATTTCTATCTTCCATAATAGTCATTGTTTTGAATGCCTGCCATTCATTTTTGTGTCATTCACTTACCCAGCACAACTGCATTGCACAGAACAAATGCTTTTTAAAAAGTGGTTAAACAAATTATCGCAAATTATCCTACCCATGATGATAACTGGAATTACTATTCCAAAGTCCACCTCTGGAAGAAAAAATAGAGTCCTATTTAATTTTGTGATTTTTCTGTTTATGTCAGTTGACACTATAATGCACACGCTGTATAAGCAAGTTGTCAGTGCTAAACAAATAGAACTGAGTGTAAAGATGGGTGAAATAATCAGAATGACCAAGCCGCTGATCAAGTCCCCAGATGTAGAGATGGAGCTTATTCCATGACCTTAAAACAAAATTTAGAGAAATGCAAGACATAAATAATCTTTTTAACAAAATGGGTTACAGCCTTGGATTTCTTTTTAGAATTTTGTGTGGATAATTACAAGTAGACAAAGATTGGGACTTAGACTATTTTTAAACAATATATTTAACCAAAAGTGTGTAGGTATATTGTATATGATTTTTATAAATATTCCAAGACTTAGTTTAGGTATAAAATGAAACAGAGGCATCTGTTGAAAAATGCCATAACCCTGTGGCAGCTGCTATTAAATCATTAAGAGGATCAGGTTTTATTTAAACCAGATTTATCTTTCTTTTTACGATAGCCTATGAGAAAGCTAAAAACATTAGGCACAAATTACTGACAAAAGAGAACCTTATTCAAGTTGTACTTTTCATTTGGCTAGTTGGCTGTGAGTAACCTTTGTGATACGAAAATAAAAGTTAAATCAGGAGAAGGAGAAGAAATGGAGTCAGAATCCTGTTTTGGGCCATCATTTAAAGATCAAGTTGAACTGATGCTATTGACAATAATTTCATCTATTTTTAGCCCTGCATTTAGAAGTGAAAACTAGAGCCCCTGTTACACTAAACTCCTATGTATTCAGCTATACATTCAAAGTAGATGGAATTAAGAATTTGTCCAGTACTGACCCAATTCTATCATTAATTTTGTTGCAGTCTTAGGAAGTCACTTCTCTTTTTTCATATGTAAGTTTCCATGCACTTGAGTTCTCTCATCAATAAAAAACAAAGCTATAAATATCTTCTTCTCAAAGTTAATGTAATTATGCACTTAGTAAATACAAAAATTCTCAGAAAATATGAAATGTGCCTTTTTAAAATTTATTTCTTCTAGGACCATCCCAACCACTTCTAAGATGACTTAGTAATAGTTCATTTTAATAAACAGAAAAATAACATAGTCAAGGTTAAAATACACCTGTAAACATGCAAAACAGCAGCATCTTTTTTTTTTTTGAGCGTATGAGAAATAGTTCAAGGCTACCAAGCACAATAATTAACACCATGCAGTCCTGTGTCAGCTCAAGAGGAACTTCATCTCAACG
Organism: Homo sapiens; assembly: GCF_000001405.40. NCBI lineage: Eukaryota > Metazoa > Chordata > Mammalia > Primates > Hominidae > Homo > Homo sapiens. The sequence goes on from NC_000006.12 coordinate 9,821,208, forward strand.
CGTTCTACAAGATGGAGGAGTCATACACAACTACCCTGACAGCCCCTAAAATAGTTAAGCGTGTGAACCAGACCAAACCTAGTCACCGATACTGAGAAGGAAAATAAAAGCCATAAATTATTAAATAAAGGAAATGACTTTATCTGATAACAGTTGTAGTTATTCGTTTGGTGCCTTTCCTTTGCTGCAGATTGTAGCAGAAATCTTCTGCCCTGCAATGTGTAGCCTGTAATTCATTCCTTTCCTCTTTGGCAAGAAAGGCCACTAAATTTCAGTGTACTTTGCAGAAGATCCTTTTCACAAATCTGAGTACTTCCATAGCTATCCTATGAAGTGACATTCCCATAAGGATTTTTCAGTAGCTTTGTAGCTAAATACCATATGTTAAGAAAAATATATGTGTTGGTCTCCCCCAACTATCAATGCCCTCCATCATGACAGTCCTGGTAGGTGGCGATCATAAGAGCCTCAGAGTCCCTTTATTTAATGAGTGCCATGAAGAACACCCCTGTGATGCTGCTCTTCTCCCTCCTCCCACCCTCCACCCTCAAGTACTGGGCTGAATACCTAAGTGATGAAATAATCTGTACAACAAACCCCCACAACGTGAGTTTACCTATGTAACAGATCTTCACATGAACCCCAAACCTAAAATAAAAGTTAAAAGAGAAGAGTACCCCTTTGGAAGGAAGAGCTGCTACAAAGCTGAATTCCACCGCATAGCATAAGGGTGATGCATTTGATCTTCCACATCGCGAAAGGTACATGTGAAAGGTGAATGGAGAAAAAACGGAATCCAAGAAGCAAATGGGAATTTTGAAGTCTGAATGAAGGATTGGAAGAGAAAGCAAAATTCCTTACACTTTAAAAATGTAAAGGATACACTTTTAAATTACTTTTTGGTATATTTTTAAATTAAAACAATCCGGAAAGGACTAGAGTAAATGATGCAAACATTATAAACATGCATATTCACGAACATTGTTCATTTTTCTGGACTTTCTGATTTTTTGTAATGATTATTATCTTTACAGAAAAGAAGTATATTAAGTGATTTCGAAATCAGAGAGCCTTCAAGGTCCTGCTTCTGATTATGATGGAGACGATCAAAAGTAACCAACACTTCCATCATAAAAAGGAAAAATAATTATATTTTTAACCCATTGGGAGACTGAGGACACAGAAATTTAGGTGAGACTAAATCTCACAGAGGGATAAATGCTTCGTATATGAACTAGGATAGAGGCAGCTTTAATGCCAGGAAACAGGTGAGGAAGCAGAACAGTCACTGGGTAGACTACTTTGCAGGGGAAAGAGAAACTGGCTGAACTTTTAACAATCATGGGCTCTATGGAATATTGAAAACATACAAGCTTCAGACAAAGAGCAAGTTCTCACTATTCACCAATTCTCAACCTTGGGACTTTTAACAAGTGCTCAGCAGCATGTGGGCAATTGAGTCTAGATAGGGAGCAAAAAGAGATTTTCAGTGGCACAGAAATCCCGGGACAGTGCTGGAGAGCAGAGCGGAATGTCAGTTACATGGTGCATGGATAAGCAAGCCCAGATGAAAGGAGGGACCTTTTACAGCTTAAAGCTTTTGAAACTGGTAGTAAATTAAAACTAACTAAAGCTATAAACCCAACCCCAACTTAGCTCAATTCCTGATTTGATCAGAGAGATCAGCCCTTGTGGAGGAGAAATATTTTCCACTCCAGTCTCTGTAATTGGCTTATATACAATATCTGGCATATAATACACAACTGTGAGACATTCATAGAAGGAGGCAAATGTGATGCATGAACAAAAGAAAACCAATCAATGAAACTGACCCACAAATGGCCAGATGTTGGAATTAACTAAGATCATAAACAATCATTATAAATAGGACCCAAAATTAGAGGAAAAGATAGAAATAGCTGGTAAAAGTTTTCAATAGCTAAGAAGAGAACTTTAAAAATGTTTAGAACAGAAATCTAAAGTATTTGAAATAATAAAATTATTAAATGGGCATAACAGCAGAAATGGACACAACAGAAAAAGGACAGGTGAACAGAGGTCAATAGAAATTATTCCAACTGAGGCATAAAGTCAAAAAGAATAAAAAAGTAAAATACGCTACAGCATGAAAGACTTGTGGGGCAATAATAAACAGTCTAGCGCACATACAGTTGGAATCCTAAAATGAGAAGAGAAAGATGATAGTTCAGGAAAAAATATTTGAAGAGATAACGGCTGAGAATTTTCCAAAATTGATGAAAGACATCAATCTACACAACCAGAAGCTCAGAGAATCTTTAACAGAAGAAATACAAAGGAAATACCACCCAAGCATATCATAATGAAACTGATTGAAAATCAAAGATAAGGAGAAATCATAAAGACTCATCAATGATCTCTAACAAAAAACTCATTAATGGCTGTCAAAGGAACACACTTAGGCAAGTATCCATATTTCTTTATCATGAAATTCTGAATTTAATATAAAATGTTATAAATCATGTGGCAACATCTAACTTTCACTTCTTTGCCCTGCTTCTTTCCTCTGGTCACATAAAGTTACTTTTATTCCTGGCACTGCACAAAAGGTCTCCAGAAACTTGGTTTATTGTAAGCTCTACTTTTGGTTGCTTTTGCCTAACTGACATCATATATTTACCATACAAATTGTAATTCCTTAGCATCATATTCAGGACTCTAATGCAGTATCATAGCAATCTAAACTTCTAATGTTGTCTCCTCTTAAACACATACTTAAATACATATTAACATGTGTAATACTTATCATATTAAATATTGTCAAAATTATTTTCTCAAATGCCTGTATACACACACACACACACACACACACACACAGACAGACAGACACACACACAGAGAGAGAGAGAGAGAGAGAGAGAGAGAGAGAGACAGAATTATTTTCTCATGAAAGCCTATTCATCAGGAAATTCTTCTTCCTCCCCCAAGGTGTTTTGCTCATTATGATCAAGGAATCTTGTCTTCAGTTTGGACAAGACCTTTGAGGTTATCATTTCTAATCCACAGGTTCTCAAGCAAATGTACAGGCAGAGACACTGATAGGATCCAGACACAGGCCCAAGGACGGTGTGTCAGACAAGGAGAATGGGAACTAAACTCAAGGATATCTTCCAAATCTGATATTCTATGATAGTCAACACAGCAAATCAGTATACTTAATGTGCATTAGAAATAACAAAATTTTCTCTTTGAGGCAGACAATTCTGAATACCTGAGTGGGAATTGAAGCCACAGAATAGAGTCATCTAGGTTATCCCCTGAAAGTTTCATAAAACCATTACTGTTTTTTCTATTCTCTCAGTCCAGAAAAATAAATAGGTAAATCAGCTCTAATCTCCAGTCTTTCTGCTATAGGATAAGAAAAAGTAGCTATTCTTAGAAACCTATCTTGGCCTAGGGATCAAGAACACAGGGTAGTAACAACTACAACTGTCACTGCTTCTTAACGGAAGAGAGAGATTCTTACTTCCTATACCATGGGAAAACCAGCATTCTCATGTCAAATTTAGTAGTTCCAGCTTCCTGTTTTAGGAAAATTATTTTTTGGGTTCCTTAATTTTAAAAATTGGTGTAATATCAGCAGTTAACATTCATGTCCTAAGTGCAAGACACTTTTTAAAAGCACTTTATCCTTATAAACTCAATAGCCACCTAATCCTATAAAGTAGATTCTATAGACTCAATTTTACAAATAACACAACTGAGGGAAGGCCCAAGGTTATACAAAACAGATGTGGAGGGTAGAGCTTGGATCTGATTTTAGGCAATCTGCACCACAGCCAGTCACGCTAAGCTTCCTGAATGTAGGAGGGGCCAACTAGGGACAACCCACCTCGGATTCATGGTGAGAGACCTCAAGGTCATTCTGCTCTATCCTATTTACCGCTCTTCAGGATTCCTACAAACTGGGAAGCTGGGGCTCCTCTTCCAGATATTTCTCTGTATCTAGCCAGTTCTCTCTCTCCTAAATTGCTTGATTTGAGTTCTGTTAACCAAAACAGACATATTGCCTATCAAGAAAAAGCATTTTTACTCCAATAAAATCCTACTATCAGGGATTCTTAAAGAATAAGTCTTTCTAAAGGGCTAAGTTTACCAGTAGCTTACAAATGAATAATTCTGAATAAAAATTCTCCTTAAATGAAGGGCACAATTCCATGATCTCGCAAACCTAAAGTCCCTGAATCTAATTTTACAATTTCTCAACAACGAATTTAATTATTTGAGAAGCACCAACAATCATACTGTGATGTTTTCAAGACCCTAAACTCTCAGTCTCAGAAATTTAGTTTGTAAAAGAATTACCCATGAGTGATTATTGAAAGCGTAGACTTCCCAGACCTCACGCTTACCTTGAATCAGTGAGTCTGGTGTGGGGCTTGGTACTCTGAATTTTAACAAGAATGTGAGGTAATCGTGAATCAGATGGTCCTTCAGCCCACACTTTCCTGAGAATCACCACCCAGTGTGGACACAAAGATAAGCAAGCCAGGTTTGTGAATCCTTGATCATATGTTGGATCCTCTACTGCTTACGACAACTACATTTCTGCCTAAAATCTAACTGAGTCATACCTGAATAATTACTGGTTAAGCAATATGACCTTTCCACCATTTTCAATCAAACATGACTAAAATCAAGAGAAAATATATGGTATGTCATCTCATTATATTGCAATTCCATTACCTGACCTCAACCTCAATATGTCATAACTCATCTCTTCACATGCTACTCAGATGTTCAACTACGAATATTTCACTCTAGAGAGATGGAAAAAATCTAATTGAATATTTTAATTTAGAAAGTTCAGTTCTGGGATTCTCCTCTCTCTCACTTTTTTTTTTTGACTGTGAAAACAAAAAGTCAAATTTTCTTTTTAGTTTCTCCTTGTTAGGCAAAAGATAGATCTTTCCTTTCATTGTCCCTGAGAGTTGAACACATTGGGGAAAAATTGGGCACAGCCCATTACTTTTACAAACTCCAGTGAGTGAGCCTCAATGCACAAAAAGATGGCATTTCTGAACATCTGCAGCCTGATTAGATCAAAGACCAACAAATTAACCACAAATGGCTTTACAAGGAGCATGGAAATATATCATTTGGAAAGGAGAAAACTTTTGGCAATAATTGCTCATCAACGTTTTCCCTTTGGGCAGCCCACATTGCACCAAAGATATCTAGCAATGAAGTTAATGCCTGTGCAGCATTTTATATCTTACAAAGCTCTTATATGCACGTTATCACATTTGATCTGCACATCAACCTTGTAACGTTGTCGACATTAGCCCATTTTACAGGTGATTGAAGAAAATGATTTAGGAAAGTAATGACTTGCTCATGTTTCTCCAGCTACTGAATTGAGTTGACTATCTCAAAACCCCCTATCTCTGACTTTAGTGTTTCCCTTCAATCATTCATGCACATTTATTAAATCTCTATTTTGCATTTAGACACCACTTTTGGCACTGAGGATAAAAATAATTGAGTGAGACAAAAAGCTTTCTACTCTCACTGAGTATAGTCTGATAGGAAAGAGAATACACAATAAACAAATATATGAGACCTCATCAGTAGTGATAAATGTTTAGCCTGTCACAATTGATACTGAAATAATGAAAATAAATAGCAATGGACTAGAAAATGACTGGAGGAGGGGGCTATTCTGTTAAGAAACTCTTGCCTAAGGAAGCAACCCTTACCCTGAGAACTGCCATGTCAAGGTGTGAGAGAAAACCCTACTAAGCAAGAAGCAGTAATGAATTCAGTGGCCCTGCAGCAAGAAATGAGCTCAGTGTGTTCAGAAAATGACGGTGAGGCTGAACTAAAATACACAAGCAAAAAACTAGAATGCAATGAAAGTAGATAATGGGATAGAAGCCAGATCATATACTCTTTGAAGGCCCAGGTAAGGCATTTTGGATCTTATTATAGATGCAGTGAAGATCTAAATGCAATGGAAAATCTTGAGCAGAGGCTGGATATGACCTGATTTGCAGTTTGCTAAATTGACCTTTATTGGTCCCAGAGTTTAGTGATGATTTTGTTTGAACATAAATCTGTTTTTTGCCACCACCATAAGCTTTGAGAGCCTCATCAGTTCAAAGTCATTGACTATTGCTTTATATATGTACGAGGCAGATGACGGGAAAAGATAGCCAGGCCCATCCTTTGCAATTAACAGGCAGTGTGACCTTGGAAAAATTCTTTGCCCTACTCAGTCCTTCGTGACTTCACTCAGCGTTCATAGGAGAATTAATGCCTTAAAAGTAATTGTAAAGCATTTTGTATAGATGTCGAAATATTAAAGCATATTCCCTCTGAATGTGAGTGAGTTCAAATATAGAAGCAAGTTCCTCCTCTTTAGAGAATTCAAAATGATTTGATTGTTGAATTGCATGCCAAGTGAACAAGAACTACTATTTTGTAACTAGGGCATTCTTAACTCTGAATACATTGGATGTGAACAGATGTAGAGAACAGACACAAAGGACAAAGATGGATTTATGGCATTATAAAATTTAAAATGTGAATCTGCATAAAACGCCAAAAATGTTTTAAAGTAAAAAAAAAAATTCAACTAAAAGGTAGTCAATGGTTGTTTCTTTTACAACCTCAATGTGACTCTGAGTCTTAGAATTGTTTATTTTGAAAATATTTATTAAGACAGATGCCTTTCTAGTTGCTGATGATACAGAAGTTAACAAAACACCAAAATACCTACTGTCAGGAATCTTACATTCTGGTGCTGCCAAGTATTCTTAAGATTGAATGACCACCTGTCAATGTCATGCAATGTGACAGCCTCTTTTCTGAATGTTAATTTACTACATAATACAGAGCCTATCCTTTGAGAGGCAGAAAGCAGAGACTGGAAAGAGAGAGAAGGTTGGCTTTAGACGTAGAAACAAATCTGATAGAAATACAAAGAAAAAGGATAGAAATTGGTGGGTAATTTGCAGATATGAAAAACTAATATATCAGTGATTGCTGCTTCCTTTAGGGCATGTTGTGAACCTTGATGTTTGGACTGGGGAATCACTCACATGTGGACTTAAGTTCAGCTTCAAACATCTGAGCAAGTTCTCATCTCTAAAACCTCAGTTTTTCTCAACTGCAAAATGGGTTTAACAATGAATTTGGTTGTGTGATGTTAGCATTGATAGTATAGGTTAAGTGCATAGTGATGTAATTGGCACACTACAGACACTCAGTAAATGGTACTCTCCCACTCCTCCTAGAGAATAAGTGATACAGTGATTTTCTGTATCCATTGCCTTAAAACCTCTCACATCACCCAGAAGCAAGTAATGTAGACAAAAGTAGCGTCACATTTAGTGTAAACTGAGTTTTCTCAAAGGAGAAAATTAAGAAAGGATTGTCTGAGACTTTTTAAAGAAATGTTTTGAAAGACTGTAGAAAGTCAACATACAGAGGAAGGCAGAGAACATTGTACATGAAGGACTATTGTTATAAAGATAAAAATAACTATAGCTGCCAGTTATTTCCTACATGCAATCTACTATGCTAAAGAGCTGATACATCATATTATTTAATGCTCATAATACCCCTATGAATTAGATATTAGTTTCCCATTTCACAAATGAGAAAACGGAGGCCAGGGATATTTTAAATTATTTTCCTGAAGTATTGATTGCTGGTAAGTAGCAGAACCAGGATTCCAACTCTGCTCAGCCTCACTCTAAAGATGTGTTCTTCATTACTACACTTTGGGTCAAGTTCTCATTTGTTTTCGTGGGGACAAGGGGCAAGAGAGTAGGGTGTCCCTTTGCTTGACTGGAGAGGCACATGTACAGTAGCAGTTGGAAGCAAGTTGGGGGGTTGAGTTGGGAGAGGCCATGGCTGGAAGTAGGATGCCCCATGACTGCCCATGTCATTGAGGAAGGGCCACTGGCCATCAAGAGTCTCACAAGTCCGAGATCCCCTTAACCAGCAGAAGTGACCCTTTTAAGAACTAACACAAAGGGACTTCCTCCAACTGATATAATGAAAAACTTTCTAAAGCTGCACAATATAATATTGTGCACAATATACTCCAGAGCTCTCCATTATTAATGGTAATAACCAATAATCAATAAAAGCAATCATGTGCCTGTCTAGTTTTCCTAAGACTGTTCCTTCCTATGAGTTATTAAAATCATTTCAATTCTTAGATATTAAATGTCACACAGAAAATAACCTCTTGCAAAATGTTGGGTTCATCATATTTTAAGAATTAATACTTTAGGTCATTTTAATCAGTTTCTGATATATGCGGTTTTCAGGAAGCACCTCAGGGAAGAACATGGTGGCCATGACTAATAATGACAGGAATATGAACTATATTCTTCATATACATATCAGACTTGGAGCATTACTGAAGTACTTGACCATCTTAAGTATTTAGGAAGCTTTAAATAAAAAATAAATTTGCCTATTTCACTGAAATTGAGCATCCTTTTTTCGGGCATAAAACTTCAAACTTATTAATTTTATGGCTATATTTTAAAGTGAGTGCCAGTCCCAGCTTGATGACTATATGGTAAGTGTCTTAAAATTTCAAGAAAAGGCACTAAATTTTTCACAGTGTTTGTGTTTCATTCTCAGTGTAATAAAAATATGCCACCCTTTTAATAATGAATAATAGATTCTCAGTTTGATTTACATGCATGGATTAAATGTCATGTTTGAAAAGTTGCTATTTTATTCATATTGGATTCCCTCCAGTAAAACAAAAATGGTACCCATCTACTACTGTAATAATGACACCTTGCCACACTGATATATACATATTAACTGGCTGGTATGCTTTTTAAAAATTCTATAGATCCAAGAAATAGTCTAACAGCACAGGAAGTTTCAGTAAGATTTTCTCTGAGGTACTTACGTGTACCCTACAATTACCCAAAACCTCCATTAATGTGGCTAAATGAAAGGAACAGGGGAGCCAGGCACCCCTCCTATCACAGATTAAGCTCATTTCAGTGATGCCAGATTCATATGTTGATTTCTAAAAGGTTGAAGTATTTTGTGGCTCCTCCTTTCTTACCAGAAAATAAAGAACAATTTATTGTCACCAGTTTTTCATAAGCCCCTCCTATATTTGTATGAAAGGGCTGCCATAACAAAGTACTATACACTGGGTGCCTTGGCTACAAAAATCTGTGTTCTCAAAATTCTAGAAACTAGAATTCCAAGCTCAAGTTGTTGGCAAGGCTGGTTTCTCCTGAGGACTCTGTCCTTGGCTTGCCGATGGCCATCTTGTTCCTGTCTCCTCACACAGGCTTCCCGCTGTGTGCATCTGTGTCCTAATCTCCTCTTCTTCTACGGGCACCATTCATATTGGATTAGGGCAAAGAAAAGCAAACTTTTCCTTTCTACCTGGGTCTAAAAACTTTACTGGTTTTAGAAAGGAAGGATGTAAGATATCAAAGTATAAATATTGTTCATTCACAGCAGCTCATATATCCTTTCAAACAATATAATCACGGACATGATATAGACAGGAAGAATAACGACATTCTTTAGTTAACCAAAATTTCATTGAAGGTGTATATTTGAGTTTTGTTTATGGTTTTTTAAAGCTGGTTTAAGTTAAACATTATTTTAGTCTTTCAGTATGTCAGGCACTGAGCTGAATTATAACATTTACTCTGACCTAGTACCCTACTGGTGGTGACATCATAAGATTAAGGAGATGGAGCTTATTGTGATGACTATTTTGCAGTTGAAATAGGGGAGGCACAGGCAGATTGAGAAACTGCTGTAACTCACATTGCTAAGTTCGTTTTAGAGCCAGAATTCTAGTCAGGTTATAAAACACACACTGAATCACCATTCTGCCTTATCTTGGCCTACGGTGTTTAGTCCTTTCATTTAAATATACAAAAATAAACTCCTATGATAGCATTCCCAAAAGATTTTATTAGTAATTAAATTGATTTTATTCTCTTTGTCCAAAGAAAAAGCCTCATCTGATCACAAATAATTAAACAACAGAACTTCTTGAAAGTTAGGGACTAATAAACGTCCATATTCTGTCATAAGGAAGCCTGGGTGGCCACATTCTGTTCTCTGAGATCTCTGTTCCAGTAACTTCTTTGCTATGGCGTGTGCTTTAATACCATCCATATGATGGCATCTGTTTACTTCTTCCACAAGGAGTCCTCAAGATTGCATAATTTAGTGTAAGCAAAATCACTTTTTGCCTTTAAACTAGCAGTCATTAAATTTCATCACTCACACCCTGACATGTGATCCAAAAAAACAGATGTACTTATCAAATAAGATGGGGTTAAGTACCATCAAAATTAAATATTTCTTTTCCTTTGGCTGACATAGGCACTCGATCCAAGACATGATTTTATTTTCTTTGTGGTGTGGGATAATGTGAAAAATGAAATCTGTAACCCTATATTGAAGGAAATCATAGTCTTAATGGAACCACTAAAGAAATTATTCCAGAATTATATATCCTTCCAGAAATAACAACCCTGTAATGTCAGCAAATTTGGAGTCAGCCTGGGTTACCTACTGCATACAGCAGGCTCTGGTCATGTTCATTAAATCTGCCTGAGGCTTAGTCAAACTTGAGTACATGACCTTTAAGAATTTTAAAAAATTCATTAATCAATGTTCTTTGCCTGAATTTTGCTGTTTTTGCTTCTTTAACCTATTATTTGTATCATTGTTTTAGGTTGGCCAATCCTCACACCCATTGAAAATGAGAACTGCAAGCATAACAGTTCTAGCTGATAATTAACAGAAGGTTCTTTCAGCTCAGATACCATTGTCAAAGTTCAATAATGATATTGCAAAATGTCACCAAAAAGCATAATAATGTGAGATAATCAGTTATAAGAAAATAATCATCACAGTTCTTAATTTGTATCTGACTTTACATTTTAAAAAATGATTTAACACATTTCTCTCTCAATCTTCTGTACTGGTCTAAAAATTCTGTATTTATCCACATTAATGGATAAGTAACCAAATACAATTGAAGCCAGAGTAAGATCTTTCACCAAACTCTCAAAGGATCTGTGTAATTTTCTCATAACAATATTTTCCTATAGTACTATTTTTATAGCTATTTATCTTGCAAATTGTAAGCAAGACAGATTCTCACATGTATTTGAATGGTTTAAAACTATGGTTTCCAAACTGTGGCATATTTGTCTTGTGAAAACTAAAGATGCCGTAGCCACAACCTTTTGACTTAACTTTGAGTTTTCATTGAGTCAATTAGTTGAATAAATAATCATTTAATTATGCAAATTATCTGATCATTTTTTCTTCCATTTGTTATTCAAGGTCTCTTAATTGCCTTATATTTATTAAAATAGAATAGAAAAGGCACATATTTTATATTCCTTTGTAAAATTACAAAACATTTCAAATTCAGAAATTAAAAAAAATACAAAGGTGTTATTCATTCCTGCCTTTTTCCTTGTAATTGAAAGACACCCTTTGTAAGTTCTTTCAGCATTCCATTGAGGGTATACTTGTTATGTGTCGGATGGTGTGCCTCAGAAGAAGACAGGTGGAATACCTAACCGCCAGTACCTCAGAATGCGACCTCTTTGGGAGACAGAACCTCTTAGGATTTAACCAAGTTGAGATGAGGTCATTGGGGTGGAATCTAACCCAATATAACTGGTGTCCATATAAAAAAGGGAAATTTGAACACAGAGACAGAAAAGCACAGAGGGAAGACGAAGTGAAGACACACAGGGAGAAGGCTATGTGAAGGACTGGAGTGATGGATCTGCAAACCAAGGAATGCCAGAAGCTAGGAGAGAGGCAGGAGCAGGCCCTTCCTTCGCAGCCCCAGAGGGAGCATGGCTCTGCCAGCACTTTGATGTCAGGCTTTTGGCCTCCAGAACCATGAGACAATAAATTTCTGCTATTTTAAGCCACCAGGTTTATGGTATTTTCTGATAGCAGACTTAGGAAACAAATACAGTATCCTTAGTCAAAAATGTATTCATTTGCGACACCTCTGACCCACTCTTGAATAATAGGTTAGGTGAGTACATTTTTTTTCTTTATCAACTTTGTCTTAGAATTTTGAATATATTTTTCTATTGTCTTCAGTCCTCTACTGTTGCTGTCTGAAGTTTCACTAGAATGTGTCCAGAAGTGGACTGATTTTACTTTGTCCATCTCAGAATTTCTGTTCCCTTAATCTGAGAGTTCATGTCTTCCAATGAGTCTGGGAAATTAATAAATAACTGTTAATCCCTTCATATCTTTCCCTCGTTCTAGCTAGTCTCTGTTCTGGAAATTGTATAATATGTATGTTAGACCTTCTCTGTAATCTTTGCAAATCACTACGAATCACTTTTCACTTCACTTTTTTCATCTCTTAGAGGTGTAGTCTAGGAAGTTTCCTCAGATCTGGCTTCCAGTTCAGAAGTTCTTTGTTCAGAGGGTCAAATCTCTATGATAAATATTTTTAATTTTAAACACTATATATTTTCTATTATAGAAATCCTACTGTAGATTATTAGGAGAAACAGTATTTTAAATGAAACATAGAGAAAGATAAACTTTTTATTTCTCCAAAAAAGATTTTTTTCTTTTATCTCCATCTACTGGACACATTTTTTGTCTATCTATCCCTTTTAGACACATTTTGAGTATCCAAAATTTATGGAAAAGGCTCTTTCAACACCCTATACCTAAAAGGCTCAAAGCCTCATCTCCTGAAAGGTCGCTAAAATCCAATGTTTGAGGTGAAGGAAGCCCTAAGTACCCTGATTGGATCATTACACACTGTGTGCATATATCAAAATATCACTTGAACCCCTAAAACATATACAAATATTATGTATCAATTAAAAATAAGTACATAAAAATAAAAAGGTAAAAAATGCAAGCCAAAAATGAATCCGAACCTTAAGATCAACAAGACTGATTATATGTTTTCCCCTCTCCCAGGCAGCAACAGCCCCAGTTTACTCATTTTCCTCTCTAGTTTTTAATTTCCTCTTCATTCCTGGTACCCAAGGAGATCCCATTCACTGTTGAGTGTTTATGAATTTAAAATCCTTTTGGTTATATCTTATCTAGAATTTCCAGGTGCTTATAGAACAAAATCAGAAAATAAAATATGACTTTTGGCTCCTGATCCCGGCAGGATGGGAAAATAAGATAACCTCAACACTTACGTCATCATCCTGCCAGAACTGAAAGTCACAAGGCTTATTTTGGGGCATTTTTCTTCCCAGAGATCTAAGCCTATTCATTGTTAATGAACACCATCAACAAAGGAGGCAATGTTTTCTATTTGAAATAGTTCCGGGTTAAATGTCAGAAGACAAGTAGGCTCCAAATGTCTCTGCCAAAGAATTATTCAAAATCTTTTTAGCAAGATACTCAAAGCGAATGTGCCTAAGCTTAGAGTCCATAATTTAACTTGATTTAATATGATTCTTACAGTAACTCAAATAAGGGAGTTGCTATTACCTCATTTTACATGAGGAGACTGAGATAGAGACAAATTAACTCACCGTATTTGACCAGCCCCACCTTACAATACTGGAAGACCAACATTACGATGTAGAGTTATTTGGGACAAGATCCAAGTGATAGTATCTGGAAGTGGTGCTTTGGTGTCTGGAGTGATACACCTTTGGGCTTACTCATATATCCACAGCTTTCCTCAGGAGCCATCTCAAATACTTATACGTAATCCTTCCACTTAACCTTCATGTGTTTGCCTCCTAGCCCGGCCTGATGCCAAAGGAAAGCCACCCTTGATGCTATAACACTGTAACCTCATTCCAAGATCCATTAAAAATGTAACCTTACAGATGTATACAGTGACTTTCCTCCTCACAGTCAGTACTTCACCTGGAATGAAGCCCTGCCCATTCATTTGGGTAGTGCTTCTCGGCTCTTTCTTTTTGCACAGGAATACATAACCATCGCTCTCCAATTAGCATTCATAAGATGCTCTGCACTCTCAAACGACATTATGGAAGCCAATTTCTCCAACTCACGGACTGAGAATAAAGATAAACCTGTCTTAGACTTGTATTTAAAATGTAATGAAATAAATATCTTAAATGTCCCTATATCATTTATATATACAGTGCACATGTATGTGTTTGGTGAATTTATTCCTGTTATTACAAAACTACATTGCTTTAAAATGTACTGTTTTAACTGTCAGTCTCCCACAAACTACCAGCAGAGTGACGGGCAGGCAGAATTGTGTGGTTAGTGAAAAAACCTGATGTTATTGAGTAGAGCCCATTGGAATGAATAGGACTTTAAGCAACAGCATTTTTATTCTGAAAGCAAAAAGCCTCAGTTGACTTCTCTTTCCTGTCAAGTTCTGGATGTTTTGGTGCTTTTCTTGTGTTTGTTTTCACCCTGAATTTTGTACTTTTCTTATATACACTGAATGTGAAATAGCCCAGTGTATTTCTTTGGGGATCCAGGATTTTGCTAGGTGATACCAAGGGATAGATGTAATTCAGTGACATTTTGTCAGGCTGTTAAAGAGTAAATTTTCCTTGACTGTGGCAGGAGGTAATTATTTTTTGTTTGTTTGCTTGGTTCTGACACAGGGGAAAAAATTTGGGGGTTGCTATTTCAAATAGTCCAAGATACTTTCTGTTCTGTTTGGCAGGAAGGGAAAACACATTTTATTATTGGAGCGATTGCCAGCCTTCACTTTTCCCTACCGACTTGATGCAGTTTTTAACACTCTGAACATTTTTTCAACTTTTAGTTTAAGTTCTGGAGTACATGTGCAGGATGTGCAGGTTTGTTACGTAGGTAAACATGTGCCATGGTGGTTTGCTACACAGATCAACCCATCACCTAGGTATTAAGCCCAGCATATATTAGCTATTCTTCCTGGTGCTCTCCCTCTCCCCGCACCCCCGACAGGCCCCAGTGTGTATTGTTCCCCACAATGTGTCTATGTGTTCTCATCATTCAGCTCCCCCTTATAAGTGAGAACATGCGGTGTTTCGCTTTCTGTTCCTGCATTAGTTTGCTGAGGATAATGGCTTTCAGCTAGATCCATGTCCCTGTAAAGGACACGATCTTGTTCCTTTTTATGGCTGCATAGTATTCCATAGTGTATATATACCACGTTTTCTTTATCCAGTCTACCGTTGATGGGCATTTAGGCTGATTCCATGTCTTTGCTATTGTGAATAGTGCTGCAGTGAACATGTGCTGCAGTGCATGTATCTTTATAACTGAATGATTTATATTCCTCTGGGTATATACCCAGTAATGGGATTCCTGGGTCAAATGGTAGTTCTGCTTCTAGGTTTTTGAACATCTTGCAACCTCAATCTCTTAGTGGTTCTATCCCCTCTCCCTGAAGATGTCTGTGATGCACTTCTTAATCCTGTGATCCCTCCTGGCATTTTATCTGTAGTATACCCTGTTACAATCATTCAACAGCTCACGTGGAATGTCTTCTACCTACCAAACATATTAATAGATGTGGCTTACACTCTAATGTTCCTACACAATGGGCATCTAAACAAATAATAACAATAATGAAAACATTCTATATTGCCTTTTGATGTAAATAGTTATTTATGCAGATGGCTCTCAAAAGCAATCTCTTTGAATGATATTTTTTGTAGCCCAGCTCCATGCTTTAAAATTTTAGGCACTTGATTACAATGCACCAAAATAATGTGACTGCCCATTAGGCTGATGGCTGATTGGACCCTTTCTAGAAAATTATTAATGAAAATTCTTAGCTACCACCACATTCCTGAAATTTCTTTGAGACCAATGGTGAGGACCAAGTCCTCAGTTCAGGAGCTGACCAATACCTGATGCCTTTGTGGTGCCCGTCCTCAGATTCTGGTTCTGACAGTAAGTGGCTCCCCAGGGGAAAAATCATCTTCACAACCAATTGAGACTAACAACCCTCACCTATACTCCAGTATTCTTAACAAGGCCTTTAGGATCCTTTATTGAAGAAAAAAAAATTACTAACCTACATTGTTCTCAACAGAAGTTTAATTTGAAGGTTATCTGATGCTGGCAAGGTTACGGGGAATGTGAATGCTTATACACTGTTGGTGGGAGTGTAAATTTGTTCAGCCTCTGTGGAAAGCAGTGTGGCAATTCCTCAAAAAAATTGAAATCAGAATTACCATTCAACCCAGCAGTACCATTACCGGGCATATACCCAAAGGAATATAAGTCATTCTACCATAAAGACACATGCACGTGTATATTTAGTGCACCACTATTCACAATAGCAAAGACTTGGAATCAACCTAAATACCCATCAATAGCAGACTGGATAAAAAAATGTGGTACATACAGCATGAAATACCATGCAGCCATAAAAAAGCATGAGACCATGACCTTTGCAGCAAGATAGATGGAGATGGAGGCCATTATCCTACTTAAACTAATGGCAGGGAACAGAAAACCAGATACCACATGTTCTCGCTTGTAAGTGAAAGTTAAAAAACAAGAACACAGGTTGACAAAGAGGGGAACAACAGGCACTGGGGCTTTCCTGAGGGTGGAGGGCGGCAGGAGGGAGAAGATGAGGAAAAATTATCTTGGTATGCTTAGCATATGGGTGATAAAATAATATGTACACCAAACTCCCATGATGCACGTTTACCTGTATAACAAACCTCCCCATGTTACCCCTGAACCTTAAATAAAGGAAAAAAAAGGTTATTTGAAATATACACATTTATCATATTAATTTAAGAAAAATTCCAACAGGTAAGAATTTTTAGGCTTCACTAACAAAGAGACACCATAATTATAACAACAATAATACAAGAAGCTTCTGAATTCTTACTGCGTATTGGCACTGTGAATTTCCGCAAGCGTCAGCTCAGTCATTTTTCACATGCCTCTCGTAGGCAGGTATTGTTGTACCTATCTCACAGACAAGCCAGCTGAGGCTTGCCTAGTTTCTAGGTGAATCTTATCAAAGGTCTCTTTTCCTTTACGAAGAATTCTTTCCCAGAAAGAGTTTTAATGCCCGTTTCAAAGAGAGGGCTGGTGTCTCTACTAGTTCTCCAAACTGTCTGAAGCTTGAAGTGGATATGGATTAGGGTTAAACTGTGATAAGATTCAAGATCTGCTACCCCGAAATATTAAGCAGGAAAGCTACTCTCACCTTCCCCTCACCGCTCTTCCTTGAGGCAAGTCATAACACCTAGAAAGTTCACTTTCCTCACACTTCTCCCCGGAAGTAGGTCATAAGATCCTCATGTGAGCAGTACCCTTCCCACACCCAGAGGAAAGAAACTAAACACAGACAGTCCAAGAAGGATCTGAACAAATAGCCCTTGCTAAGTTCCCCCAGTTTATTACCATTAGGTCTTACTTTTTTGTCCTCGAATTGTATTTCACCATGATTGTCCACTCTTCATCAAACCTAAGTATAAAAATACACAAGCTTATCTACTTCTTTGGATCTTCATTTATAACGTCTCCCATGTCATGTAAGACTTCTATTACAAAAATGTGCATGCTTTTCTCTTGTTAGTCTGTCTTTTGTTATAGGGACCTGAGCCATGCCTCCTGTGGTGGGTCTGGAAAGAGATCTTTTCCTCCCCAAGAGCTGCAACATTCACTAAACGTCTACATAGCATCTGGCCTTTTTGTTTGTTTGTTTTGATTGCTGTTTTTAACCCCTATCAACTTCTAAACAACGAAGTGGTCATCTGGGACTTCACACATTATTCAATGGAGTGGCTTCTATGGACATTATATACTTTTTCCATTTCTTACAATTCACTAGGAAGTTGCTGCTCAGTTAAAAAAAAAAAAAAAAGTAGTAGTCACTGTCCTCAAGGGTCTTCGATATGTAAAAAGCCAAGGTGGTGAGAAATGAGGGTTGAAATCTGTTTCTTTCTCACATATTGGAGGTAAATAACAGCAGCATACGTTTGTTGTTTATAGATCTTTACAAAATTGTTCATTTTTACAGCTTCATTTTTCACTTACACTTTTTTATGTGGTCATTCAGTAGCCAGAATAAACACAATACATTGTCTGAAAAATATGTTCATGTGAAGAGCATATTACCATCCTTAGTGAAACACCGCAAAATAAAATTGATGAAAAGAATATCTTTTCACACAAGACCGAAGGGAAAATGAGGAAAGAAGGTACACTCCTATTTTAAAGGAAAATTATTTTCTTCTTAAATATCACGATTATAATTTTTTTTAAGAAATTGATGTTAATAGTGTAAAAGGCAATTTAAATTTGTGAACAGTCTGTGCCATACCTAGCATCCAAGCCATCTGCATGAGATGAGCCCCTCTTCTTCATTTTCTCTTGGGCTGGAGCTCCCTGGGAGGCACAATCCGTCCAGTCTGACATCCCAAAGAAGCCCCTCCCTGTTTCTCCAGGTAACCTGATGCTCTCTGACCCACCCCTAACACTTCCCACCACCCCTGTTTTAATCCCTGCATCCAAGATCACTTTCTAATTGTACCCACCGATTCCTTTCCTAGTACTGTCTCCTCTACAATTCCTTTGTATGGTAAACACATTCCCTATATCCATCATATATTTCCTGAACAGTCCCACCAACGACCTTCTGACCTACCATCTGGTTCTCACCTCAAATCAGTGACCCTCACTTCCTCCATGCATGCACATGCATTACTTACAAAGTACACGTCAGTGATCTCTCAGCTTGCACAATCTGAAAAGGGGGAAAATTATATCAAGAAGCCATAAAGTATGTTCTTGATATATAAAAATGACCTTTCCATTTTACACAGGATTTAGGGTTTCTACCTATGGACTATATAATGCTTGGCACATAATGGTTGATTACTAGGAATTTGCTGAATGAATGAATGAATGAATGAATGTAGGCATGCATTAAATCCTTTATGTTTATTACACAAAGTATTTTATCTAAAGTGACATGAACAAAGATAGAAGGTGGAGATAGATAGGAAGAGTGGAGAAGCTGAGTAAAAAGAAGAGGCTAGATGTAGACAGGCTACTTACCACATAAAGGTTTTCGTGGAAATACACCCCCACATCATAAAAGTTTCCATTGTGCCTGACGGAGTGTTTTCTGGTCTTTAGTTGCTCCGTTTGCCACCACTGCAAGACACAGCCTCCCAGTCGACCAAGCAGGGACACTTGGACACTTTGAGGACATAAGAGCCTGGAGGAGCCTTGTCTTTAAGGCCCCTCAGGCATCTGATCTGGATTTGCAGAGGCTGAGGTGGTTGAGACTGCTCATTTTCCACAAAAGGTGGGGTTCTTGAATTACGCAGGAACTGGGTGAAACCACACAATTAGCAACAATGGGCTTCTCAGGGGGGAAAAAAGTAGACAATTATTTTTATCCAACCTGTAATTGTCAGGTATTACCAATGATAACAGATGAGGACAGAAGATATATAATTAGGGGGTCAAAAGGCAAACCTGCCGTTGATGGGAGGGAAAGTTTAGCCTTTTTTCAGCATGGTATGTTAATGATCTGTGACATCAGAAACCATTCACCTATTATAGTAAGATAGAATTAACAGGAAACCAACACTTCTAAAAACCACACAGCATGCCTTCTAAGATATCTCGGGTGGGTGAACATGGGCAGTAAGCTTCAAATTTGGAGTCTGAAAGGTGACAGTCCTGACTTTAACACTAACCACTGTCCATAATGCCACGTTGAGCAGAGTGCAGAACAGGTCAGACTAACACCTCACTTGATCTGATACTTCCAGAGTCTCAACATGATGTCAACTTGCCTCACAGGCTTCAAAGGAGAGTCAAAAATGGCAGGGGGAGGGGGTGGTGGGATAGTATCTGTACGTGCCCTTTCCTGAAATTTAGCACGAATTGTGTGTGACTGAGAGACATGACTCAGGAATATTTTACAGGGCATTTGAATTTCATTTTTCACCTACAGCTGAGAGAAGCAGGTCATTTTCATTTTTAATAAGTGCTGAAAACTTTATAAACACTGATAAGATTTTTAGTGGACTATTTTTTCAGAATAAACAAAAACTAAACTATGATTATTATTAATAATAACTCAAATGTAGTGAAGTCATGTTTTCTATACTTACAAGTCCCTAATATTTTTCAGAATTATTTGACTTCAAAGGATCCTGTAACCTTGTACTTCAAGCAAAAATAATGTCCTTTTTGGAAGCAAGTTACTACTGTCTTGGCAACCCAAGTTAGTAGCACCACCAGTTAATCTGCAGCCAACAGTAAGCATTTTTTAATCCTGCCTAGACTTTAGTTTGTGGGAGATAATATATATTTCCATATAGATAGTATGCTTCTGGAATTAAATTACAGTTAAATAAACATTGAAACTTGTTCAGCTTTCTTTGTTTTTTTTCACACAAATCATACTTAAAAACTAATCGGAATAACAATTATTTTTGGCTTAATTAGAAAATCTTAATTAACAATAAAGACTTAACCTTAATATTTTGGTTTCCAAAAATATTTTAAAAATTAACAACATGTGAATAAATAAGACAATCTTTTTAAACCTCAAGGCAGGATTACTGATGCAGGCAGAGTGAGTTATTAAACACATTCTAAATTAAACGCCTCTATGAATTTTATACTGAAATATATTGTGATAGTTTTGCATGCCAAATGTGACATTTTGTATTTCAGATTCATCTTCTGTAGTAATTTTGGAAATGTCATACAAACAAAGATTTTGTCATTTACCAGTGGAATTACTATGCATGGCCGCTTAGCCATCTCTTCACTGGTTCTCGTGGTTGTTTCAAGTCAGCAAGCCATAAAAAATCTTTATCTCTCTGAAACACAGCAATTTGGAAGATAATCGAATGGTGACTAGGGGGCAGAAATGCCAGTCTGAAGAATTATACCACAATCTCTCTTGCATTTACAACCTTCCTCAAAGCGAGTGTCAGCCAAGTAGGGAAAGGAGACAGAAGATTCATCAAATCTCAAGCCTCGTCTCATTTGCATGGTGGCAGGCCTGACTCATTGTCTAGTGGGATGGAGCCTGGCCTTACTGACAACCTGTTTTGAGGAATTTTAGTAGCTTTGTCGAGTTTTTAGCCATTCTATTTCAGCATAGAATTCTCATCTATCTATCTATCTATCTATCTATCTATCTATCTATCTATCTATCTATCTATCTATCTATAGAGAGAGAGAGACCTGCTAAAGTTTCTCTAAAGAGTCCTACAGGAGAAAAAGCACAGCAGGCAGCTGGGTCAATACAATTGATCTCATCGTTTAACATTTTGCATCAGAGAAAAAGTCAGTGGCAAGAGCCTCACCTTCCAGCGGGGTCCTGCTGCTCCCTTTGAGTCATTAGTTACTTCTGTGAGGGTACCAAGCTGGGCTGCACTGTCCTTTTTACAAATATTTAGGTCTGCAATGAATGGTTGACTTGGAGTTCTGCAGCAGTTAAAAAAGAAAGAAGATAAAAGAAAGAGAAATTGACAATGGAGTGTAACAAAAAGGTTTGCCTTTAGACTCACGACACAGTTTGATGTTTTCCTTAAACATTTTGTCAGACTAGCTAGAAAGTAGGTAAACACCACATTACAGGTGCTGCAATTGATTCAAATCGACGAGGTGAGTGGCTTCTGAGGTGTGGCCCTATATAAAGTGAGTGGCTTTTAAGAGATGTGGCCCTATAAAACATAAGACTCACTGCATCGGCCACTGATCTCTCAAGATGTCACTTGCTTCAGAAATCATCAGATCCAATATTCGATAACACTTTTTGCCACTTCACTTCCTATCCTCTCTCCCTTCAATAGACTGTTAGGGAAACTTTGAGGGAAAAAAATCCATTATATAGATGATTAGCTGATATAACATAAAGTTTTTCTTTTTTTAATGCAGTGCTTAGAGATCAAGATCTATTTTGACTCTCGAAATGTTCCCTAGGCTTTTTTCCTCCTATTAACATTTACTAACTGTATCTTGAGGTTCTTCTTTATTGTTGACTCCTTTTTATTTTTGTTGTCAGCTTCTCCAATCCTGAGAGTGTTCTTCTGCCTTCCCAAATTCATTTGAATTAAGAAGGATCCACATCTCACATCTCCTGACTTAAGCTTAATTCCATCAGTAGGGCCATCTGTGACAACGACTATACCCTCAGCAGAGGAATAGCCTTTTTGGGTCTCATTGCTGATTTAGTTGCCTGTGATACAAATGATTTCCCTTAATTTGGTTAGAGTTACACTGACACAAGGGTTCATTAGGACACCCATTTGCTGGCAATTCAATTTCAAATTAAATACACTTTGTTGTAAATTTTATTACTTTTAAACTACTGAATCTATTGTCTTTAATGGTCCTATTATACAGTTATGAAGGTAAACAGATTTCATTAGTAGACATCAAAGATTTTATGTTAACCACAGTGAGATGATTTCCTCAGTTTCTTTCTTTGTTCCCTTAGCAAGAATTGTAAAGCACTTGGAAATGTTCTAAACACTTAATCTAAATAATTAGACACTAAATTCATGATTATAATCCAAAAGATAAAAAGAAAAAACACAGTTCCTGGTTAGAATCTCAGTTCTTTGTAATTAAAGATTTTCTAAAAATACCTTCCTTAAAGTGAGAAAGGAGCACAATGCACATTGAAAGGTTAAGTCACAGCTGTAACCTGATACCAGGTACCCAGAGACAAGTTCACGGATGTGTGTCCCCTTGGAGAAGCCATATTCTAGGTCAGGAACCAGATCTAGGCATCAGTTCACTTTTGCATTAGGTCCTAAGGCATGTTATTACTCTTGTTTTCTCTCTTCTAGAGCACATCTTAATTTTATAACTGTGTATGTGTTTGTGTGTTATTTAAAAATGTTTTAATTATATTAAAAACCACCATCACCACCCACAAAAAAAAAATCACCCATTAACCTACAGCCCAGAAATAACCACTGGAAAAATACTGGCTTCTATTCTTTATAGCTGAGTTTAGCAAGGCACACTTTTAAAAAAAATTTTTCTTTACATAATGAGACTGATGCTATGAATAATACTATCTTTTAAATTGTATTTTTTGCTTTGTATGTTATGGGCATTTGCCATAAGAGTATTATTTTTTTTTTGCTAACATATAATTTTTAGGTATTATCTAGTATTCTAGGCATCTACCATAATTTATTTAAATGATCCCTTATCATTGGATATTTAGGTTAGTTCCTATTTTCACTATTGAATGTTAGCCTGTAATGAACTCTCTCACATATAAAGTCTTGTAGGTATCTTAGTATCAAGTCCTATCATTGGAAATGCTTGGCATAGGAGGCATGCTGTTCTCCATCTCATCTCTGCCTTGAGCTACCTAATCATTGAAGCGATGCCTTAGTGATACATAATCCTGTCTGCACAGCCTATTCTCTCAGACACTAGATAATCCTCACAGGGAGACAGGTCCAGTTCCAGGTGATATCTTATTTGCACTGATGCTAGGGTTAGAAGTTCAAGAAAATGTCTGTGAGTAAGCAGCACTAACGTACTCCCAACCTGGCACTATGGACATTCTGAATCAGATAATTCTTTGTTGCAGGACTGTCTGGCACATTGTAGTATGCTCAGCAGGATTCCTTGTCTCTACTGACTAGATCCCACTAACATCTACTGACTAGATCCCACTAACAATCAAAAATGTCTCCAGACATCGCCAAATGTTCCCTGGGGCAACACTGATCCCTGCTGAGACCCACTGGTATACAATACTAACTAGTATTTATTGAATGCTGCATGCTCAAGGCACTCTCTCAAATACATTGCATTTCTTATCTGATTTAACCCTTAAAATAATCCGATATGGTATTCTTATTTCTGATTAACTGATGAGAAACGGATGCTGAGGGATGCTGACTACCTTCTTTTAACTATCATAAGGGTAGAGGCTGAGATTCAAAGTGAGACCATCCAACTTGAGAACTGTCCCTCACCCTGCAACCTGCTGCTTCCGCATCTTCTATACATGAATGTAGGAAGGGCAGCTGCCAGATCCAAACCTGAAAAGTTCCCGCACTGAAACAAGGATTTTGATATTTTCTAGGAGACAAGTAAGATATAACTCCCAGCTGTATTACCATTCCTGTAATGCCCCATTCCGAAATATCATATAGATGAAGGGGCCCAAATGTATCCTAGGATGAAATGGGGTCATGCTTTCCAAAAACCTGACCCTTCAGGTGAAGTGAACTAGGAGGTCTCTATCATCTATAATTGGCCCATACTCAATCAGTAGCAAAACATATGTACAAAATAAATAAAATGCATTAAATCCAACATTAAGGGACATACTTCTCAAATGTTTTACCAGTCTTTAAAAGTGACATAGGAATGTATTCGTTGAGGCCTTCCCCTTCGAATTTCAAATCCTGCATGAAAGAAAATAGATATAAAATTAAATGGATTCAAAACACACTTGAAACATCTATGTAAAAGTTGGATTTTCTGATACCAGCTATGCTGACCCTCAAAATTAAGCTTCCCAGAGCCAAATAAGAATATGGGAATTATACCTTTAACACTCAACTTATTATAGTATCTGATTTTTCTTACTTACCTAATTACTTTTCAGCCAGAAAGGCAGAGGGAATAGTAAAAAACATAACAAAAATATGATAAATACTTAGATCCCAGGACAGCTTTCTCTGTCTTTTCCTACTTTTATTTTCCTCTCTCTTTCTCACATTCACATACACATTCCACAGTGGTATGGTTTTAGATCATGTAAATGGACATATGGCTAGATGTGTAAGATGCTAGAGATGTTAATAATAATTTTATTCATATAATTTATTATTCAATCCAGGGCATTTGGGGGAAAGGGGAAGAAACAATTATGTATGCTAGGATAACAGGCATAAACTTGCACTATGCATACTATAATGCATAAAACTATTACTAATACTATTAATAATAATCCTGTAGGGTTACATACAAGCAAATATCAACATATTCAGTAAAAGTGAATGATGGGGGTGGGAGTACAGAGAGAGAGAGAGCATGCACTCAACATGGAAGCAGCAGTCTTCAATAACCTAATGTCAAAATGACACACCATGAAATCTGCTGTGTACTTTGGTCACACAGTTCAATGCTGGTTCAACATAAGAGGGAGCGATACAAAGTTGTGAATAACAGCAGACTGAGATCACTGGTTCATAGCAGTTATGAAATCCAGACAAGGAAATGTCAAAGGTTCTTTGATGAAGACTCAAGGCCTGAGAATAATTCTCTACAGCTCTTGAGTCTACCTTCTGTACTCTTGGTTCTGTCATCTGAATCTTTCTTTTTTCATGAAAGGTAACACATCTTTGAAGCTAAGTCATTTTCTTAACCTGCTTTCTGCCATAGAATTTAAAGGTCCAAAGACCTCTTTTCATCTTGTTTTCTCTGTGTCCCTTTTAGTCCAAATACATGATTTTTCTGCTTGTATAATTCTTTTAAAAATTTTGTGGGTCTCCTATGAATCTTATTGGAGTCTACTATATTAGACAAAAGTCAAATTTATAAATCTTTTCAAAAGAAGACAAGTCTTGGGGCTCCCACCAACAGGATGAAGGTCAATGCCCTTAAGGTCCCTAGAAATCCTACTGCTTGATTGAGGAGGAACTGTGAGGCAACCCTTCATCTCTGTAGAGTGACTAGAGTCTCAGTGAATACAATTCTGAGGCACCACCTTTGATATTTCTGAGGTCTTAAAAGATTTGACTGTGCTGCTCTCAGCTTCATCCATGAACCATATTTTCCTGGCATGTGATCTTTGCTCAGAAGCCATTTCTTCCTTTGAGCATTGTTCGCTATCTTGGGAGGCTGAGAATTCTTAAAACTGTAAAGTCATGACTCATTTTATCAGTCCTTTCTTCAGTTTCTCTCTCTTCTCTCACATTTTGCTATAAGCCTCAAGAAGAAACCAGGCAGCACTTGAGATTCTGTGGTCAGGGATCTCTCTAGCTAGATCATCTGGTTTATTAGGCACATTTTCTACTTTTCACATAACTGCAAACAGCAGTGTTGCTAAACACTCTGACACTCCATAAAAAGATTTCCCCTCTTCCGTTTCCCATTGAGATTTTCCTCACTTTCTTACAAGCCCTCACGCCATTTCTTGAAGACCATAAGGTTTCTAGACATATCTTCTTCAAGTACTAGAAGCCTAACACTCTCCTCAAAACCCACTGTGCAGCTTCAATGTCACCCTCATGTTTCAGGTTCTGTTATGGTAACACTCCACCTCCAGGTACCAAAATCTGCATTAGTAATTTATCACTTTATAACACATTTCTCCAAAAACTAGACAGTTAAAACAACAAATGTTTACTATCTTACACAATTTCTGGAGGTCAGAAATTCAAAAGCCACTTAGCTGTGTTTTCCTGGCTCAGGGTCTCTCATGAATCTGCAATCAAGCTATTAGCTGGGTGGGAAGCCAGGTCAGGGGTCAAATGAGGCGGCAGAATCTGTTTCCTGGCTGAGACACGTGTTTGTTGGAAGGCCTCAGTTTGTGGTTTACTATTGGCTAGAGGCTTTGGTTCCTTATCACGTGGGCCTCTCTACAGTTTACTCACAGGATGACAGCTTACTACTCCACAGCAAAAGATGAAATAGGTCGAATAGAAGGCTCTACACATATCCACAAAAAAGGGCTAACACATTTTCTGAGATGGGAAAGATAGGGTAAGTAATGAACAGGGTTTTGAGAGGCAAAATTTAAGCACCCCAATTGGACGTGTTAAATTTGAGGTGTTTTTGAGATACTCAAATGAAGTGGTAAGTAGGAATGAGACACAAGGTTCTAGGAGGAAAGATCAGAGCCTTTGGCTATCACCAGCAAGAATTAGGTGTTGGAAATTAATGAAATCACTCTGTAAGACACCTCTAAGCACATTTGTATGCATTATATTATTTATTTGTTTGTCTGTGTTACATTATTTAATCCCCACAAAAACCCAATGATGTATATGCTTTAGTGTCATAATTATTTCATACATAAGTATGGAGGCTTACAGACCTTAAGGCATTTGCCCAAGGTTACAGTACGTGGTAGAAACTAGAGTTGACTCTCTGTGATTCAGCTCTTACTCAGTGTGACTGGTCTTTCATGTAGTCATTTATTGCCTTCCTAGAACATACATTCACAGGGTAACAGGTTTTTTGTGGTTTTTTTTTCACTTACTTGACCCCCCTATATTTTCTATGACTAGGTCATAAAAAGTCCCCTTGTGAAAACAATTAAAGGTTAAATCAGTGGATGTATATGGCCCTTTGGAAACAAATAGAAAGGGCTAGATGGTAAAATCTTATTAAATCTTATGTCATTTCCCTTTGTACCATTTTCCAAAAAGGATCAAACAGAGCAAGCATGCTTTACAAAGAGAATGAACTCCTTCACCAAGCCAACTATGTGCAAATCTTCTCAAGTATTTGAGAAGCATCAATTCTTAGTGAACTAACTAAAATGTATCTCTTCATTAAGGAAGATTTTATCACAAACTTTACTATGTAATAATTATTTCATGCAGCTTTAGTCATAGTTCTGCTTTTATATAAAAGTAATTCTTTTGTTATATAAAAATTTACTTTGGAATACTTTGCAGCCTGAACTTTCCACCAGATCCTATCAATCTAAATAAGTGATGGTTGACTGTAACTGGGGAATACAAAGAAAACAATTTGGCAAAAATTACCAGTAAATATTGTTGATCAACCAGAAATTAAGATAGTAATGTTCTACTTATTCATGTAACATTCAAACAAAATTCAAAAGATTCCTGGCTATCACTGAAGAAGTTAAATATTGTTTTCCAAAATTACCTGTCTAGATTTCTCCAGCCTGGATCACCTTTTCTAACAGCAATATGAAGAAATGACACGGAGAGTGCAAGATT
Source organism: Homo sapiens (assembly GCF_000001405.40). Taxonomy (NCBI): domain Eukaryota; kingdom Metazoa; phylum Chordata; class Mammalia; order Primates; family Hominidae; genus Homo; species Homo sapiens. The sequence continues at coordinate 9,849,110 of NC_000006.12, forward strand.
GTTCCAGAGGCTTCTTTCTTCAAAAGAGACAAAACAATCCCTCCAAATGTTTTGTCATTTTCCCATAAATAGCTATAAATCCTATTTTTGTTTCCTTAACTCTCTTTTGGACAAGCAGCAAAAGTCATCAAAGAACAGATTAAGTTCTACAAACTGGGTGGTTGCTATTTTTCATTTTATCTACTATTGAATATTTCACTTGGATATTAATATTCATACTCATGATCTTCTTGCTTGTGGTAATGGCTAGTATAGGGGAGAAGGAAAAAAATAAAGGACATAATTCTAGCAAATATTCACTGACTACCTCTAATGTGCCAGGTATTAATCTAAGGACTTTATATGCACCAATCCACAGAATCCTCACATTAACCTTTCAGGTAGATACTATTATTGTCTCCATTTTACAAGCAAGGAAATGGCAAAAGCAAGGGGACCTCAGGCCTAGAGAGCTGACCTCCAGAGCACTGTACCTAACCCCTATATTAATGAGTTCTGAGTTTCATATTCTGATTATATTTTAGATAATTTGAACCAACTCTATTCAAAAACAATGGTTTGTGTGCAAACATACAGGAAATCATTCCCACACTGCAATTACTTATTTAGAAATAAAAATAACCTAACCCTATATGGAAAATTATCTCTTTGTTGGAATTCCTATCAAATTTATTAAGCCTCAGTAAATATCAAAACAGCAATATTAAAATTGTCTTTGAATTCAATGTCAATTCTTTAATTTTCTTGTTAAAACTAAAAACATGCATGAACCATGCTACTAAGCAATGTAAACAACATATTTCAGTAAAATATTGTATAACAATATATGAGATTCTGAATTTCTATGTAGAAATGCTCTCCTTTGTCATTTAAACTTTTTTATTTTTTCATTTAAATATGTTAATTTTCTCTCCATTTTCAAAAAAATCACACATTTAAGTACACAGGTAATAGGAAATTTTATACTTAGCAATCCAATATATATCAAGGATACACATGTGGTATAATTAATAACTACTACAATGATTGAAAATGTGTATACATGATTGAAATAAAAATCCAAAGTTTATATCACAGGCAAGACTAGATTTTTTCCTTTGAAGGGTGAAACCTTATGAAATAATTCTCGTTAAATATAGCCTCTGTGTTATATGGTTAACAACACTCATACAGTAACTTAGATTGAAGAGTTAATCTGATAAGCATCAAGCTAAAGAATAAATTGCAATAAAGCCTTGGAAAAACTTAAATAGTTGCATTCCCACCAGATGAAAGGAAGTATGTTTACCCAAATCCATAAGAATGTTCAGGACACTTATGCCCATGGGCATTTTTCATTCCTAGATGTTTGGAGTCTGGCCTGGAGAAGGAAAAGGAAAAGTTCTAATTGTCAATAGCTTTTGATAAGAGGTTAACCGAAAGAAAGTTTGTCTAAAATAGAGTGTTATTGACTGGAGAAAGTCTCAGGACAAGGTAAGAATTGCAAACTTCAGGACTTTTTTCTAAGTTCTAAAAACCTCCAGCAATGCCTTAATTTAAAACAGCTACAAGCAATTTGATAATATGTATCAGAATTAAAGCTGCGTAGATAAAGCTGGAATTTGCTTCTTCCACGGAGAGGAAAATATGGAGTTCCTTCACACTTCCAATAGATCTTTTGAGAGAGAACACTGAAATGTAATAGAGAGGAGACAGTAGACACTGTGGTTGAAAAAGGAGGAAGCAGCACTGCCTGCTTGGTGCTGCCTGGCATCAGGACCAGACCCCAGACCCAGACTGGACCCAATAAAGGAGCAAGTGAAGGAACCTCAGGATACCACATTCCTGCCACAGACTCCTGAGATCCTAGTTACAGGTGTTCCCACAACCTGCAGACCTTTGGACTGGCAGAGGGAATTACCTGGAGAATATGTAGAGGTATTACTTGAACCCCTGAGAACCCAAAAGGCTTCAGGGTGCGAGGCAACTGCAGCAAAAGGTGAGTCTGGGCACCTACTCTCCAAGGCTCTGCATCCTGCCCTGGGTGACTGCAGCTCTTGCTGTCTGTCCAGCTGGGAGAGAGTGGGGACTGGGATGATCACCCACCCAAGACAGGCCTGGCTGCCATTGCAGTGGGACCTAGGTGCATCTGAACTGCATGCCCCCATGCCTGCCAGGCCCTCACCAGACTGCCTGTCTGGTCATTCCCAGAGGAGGAGAGGTATGCGGTCCCCATGGCATAGCCTCCATCACACTGCCTGGGTGGTTTGTTGGCAGCCTGGGAGGAATTTACTCTCCAAATCACAGCCAATGTTTGACCCTGAGGAGCCAAAGGACAAACTACTGGCACAGTCCCAGTTTCCCAGGACCCAATCACACCACCTGTGGGTATGGGGAAGAGATTTGTGAACTGTCTCCAGGTGGGGAGGAGCTCCCACTGACAAAGCACAGTGAAGAGTGTGTAGTGGTGCTCCCTTCACAAAACTGGACTAGGAAGGATGTGGCCTGAAAGCTGCAGTTTCTGCCACAGGAAGCCTTGAGGTCTGGGATGCTTGGGACGGTGTGGTGATCTGGGTGCAGACGGCTTGGAACTAGCCTAACAAGTCAGGCCTGTTGCCAGTGACAGAGACCCACCTGCGCAGAGGTGTCAGAGCAGAGCTGAACAGGCCCTATGGCCCCTACCTTCTGAGCTGAAAACCATGGCCACCCCTCTTTCCATGACAGGTGCAGAAGGAGTGCCTCAATCCCTCCCTGGAGGGTTGTCCCAGTGACCTGAGGACTTCCCCGACAACCCCTCAAGGGTGCAGCACTCAGAGAGCCTGGTAATGGGCTTGCACAATCCAGCTCCACCTAGCTAGCCCTGCCTAGCTTTGCCCCCTCCAGCTCCTTGGCAGCAGAGTGCAGAACGAGAACCCTGAGAGCCCCATGTCTCGTCCATTGCCAGGGACACCCTGGTATTGCTCTCATCAACAAAGGCCAAGTAAAAATCCCAGTCATCACCGCAACTGCATCTCACCTACAGGCCCCACTTAATGGCATGGATGCCAAACTGCATGACTCACCACAACTTCTGCTGACATCACTGTACAGCGCTCAGCCAGCTCTTACCTGCAAGTGCCACCTCCTGGCCTGAAGGTTGAACTGCCCAACCAAATTTAATTTCTGCTGACAGAAGTGAACACCGCTGGGGAATGAGATAAGTCTCTTGAGACCTCCACCTACCCACTGCTATAGGAGACAGTAAGCCTGACCACACATACTTGAGAAAACCACTGTACTAAGGATGTCTATAACCAAGGAATTCATACAGTGCCTTAGCCTGCTAAAAGCACATAGAAGCAAAACCAAAAGACCCTATGCAACAGATGGAGCAGTAATAGCCTCAAGAGGAGAAGAAAAAAAATCCCACCCAAATGTAAGTAAATCCAAAAGTAAGAACTGACATATAGAGAAGGAACCAGAACAAGAACTCCAGCACCATGAAGAAACGAAATGTTGTGGCATCCCCAAAGTGCCACTCTAGCTCTCTAGCAATGGATCCTAACCAAAATGAAAACGTTGAAATGACAGGCAAAAAATTCAAGATACAAATTGCAAAGAAGTTCAGTAAAATCCTAGAGAAAGTTAAAAAGTAATACAAAGGAACACCAAAATAAACCAGGAATTGAAAGACAAGCTGGATATGTTTTTTAAAAAACACAACACAATTTCTGGAAATGAAAAATTTACTGAAGGAATTTCAAAACACAGTTGAAAGCTTTAATAATAGATTATACCAACCAGAAAAAAGAATTTCAGAGCTTGAAGAACAGTCTTTCTAATTAACCCAGACAGATAAAATAAAGAAAAAAGAATGTCGAAAGAAAAACAAAGCTTTTAAGAAATATGAGATTATTGAGAGCAACCAAATGTGACTTATAGGCATTCCTGAGGAAAAGAAGAAAAAGAAACCAACTTGGAAAACATGTTTGAGATAATAATTCAGAAAAATTTCCCTGATTGTACTACAGATGTAGACACCCAGAAACAAGAAATTCAGAGAATACTTTAAGACACTATACAAAATGAACATCACCAAGGCATATAGACATCAGGCTATCCAAGGTCAAAATAAAAGAGCAAATCTTAAAGGCAGCTAGACATAAGTGTCAAATAATCTATAAAGAGAATCTCACAAGACCAACAGTGAACTTCTCAGCAGAAACCTTACAAGCCAGAAAAGGATGGGGGCCTATTTTTAGCCTTGTTAAGGAGAAAAACTGCCGGCCAAGAATTTTACATCCCACCAAACTAACCTTCATAAATAAGGAGAAATAAACTTTTTCTCAGACAAGCAAAAGATGATAGAATTCATCACCACTAGACCAGCTCTGTAAGAAATGCTCAAAGGAGTTTTAAACAAAAAAATGAAACGATGATACTCACCATGAAGAAAAAGCACATGTAAATAGACATATCACAAATCCTATAAAACAGTTACAAAATTGAGACTCCAAGGAAACTCACTAACAATACTGTGAAAGAAACAAAGTCTCACATATCAATATTCATGTTGAACATAAATAGTCCAAAAACTGCACTTAAAAGATGCAGGCTAGCAAATTGGATCAAAAAACAAGATCCAACCATCTACTGCCTACAACAGACATTTACAAATTCAAAGTAAAGAGGTGGAAAAAGATACATCACACAAATGGAAAACAAAAGCAAGCAGAAATAGCTATTTTTACATCAGATAAAAACAGACTTTAAACCAACAACAGTTAAAAAAAAAAGATAAAGAAGGGCATTATATAGTGATAAAGGGTTCAATATGATAAGATTTAAATATCTTAAATATATATGCACCCAACAACAATCACTGAAATTCATAAAACAAATACTACTAGACCTAAGAAAAGAGATTGGCACTGAAGCACTAGTAGGGGACTTTAACACTCCACTTCACAGTGTGCAACAAAAAGTCAACAAGGAAACTCTGGACTTCAACTGGACTCTAGACCTAGTAGACATTTACTGAACATTCTAACCAACAACTCCAGAATACACACTTTTCTCATCTGCATGTGGAACATTCTCCAAATTAATCATATGCTTAGCCATAAAACAATGCTCATTAAATTTTAAAAAAATATCAAAAGCATCTCCAGTATCTTCCCAGGCCATAGTAGAGTAAAATTAGAAATCAATACTAAGAGGAACTGTCAAAATTTACACAAAGCTTGAGGTGATGGATATCCCATTTACCCTGTTGTGGTTATTACACATTGCATGCCTGTATCAAAATATCTCACATACTCTATAAACATATACACCTACTATGTACACATAAAGCTTTAAAAACTAAAAAAAATCTATAGAAGTGCGTGGAAACTAATAACTTGACTTCATTTTACCAATTTTGCTGGAGAGGTTGACATGCAAATTCAATAAACTCAGAGAACCCTTGTGAGATACTACGTAAGATGACCATCCTCAAGACACATTGTCATCAGATTCTCCAAGATCAATATGAAAGGAAAAGATCTTTAAAGCAGCCAGAGAGAAGGGACAGGTTATTTACAAAGAGAACCCAATCAGGCAAACAGTAGACCTTTCAGCAGAAACCTTACAAGCCAGAAGAGATCTGGGGGCCCATTTATAGCATCCTTACAGAGAATAAATTCCAGAAAAGAATTATAGCCCACCAAACACTCTTAAGCAAAGAAGTAAATTGCTTTTCAGGCAATCGAACATTAAGGGAATTTCTTGCCGCTAGACCTGCCTTATGAGAGATCCTAAAGGGAGTGCTAAACATGGAAATGGAAGAATGATATTTGCCACCAAAAATACCACACTAAAATACATAGCTCATTGACGCTATAATGCAACTATACAATCAAGTTTATGCAACGTAAGCTAACAACATGATGGAAGTACAGGATATTTGAAACATAAATGAGAATAAGGAAATCACATGTGAATTTTAGCAACCTAAAGCATTCATTTGTTCATTCATTTACAATTTCATTGTCTGTCTACCATTTGACAATGCAATGGGTACTAAGCAAAGATGGAATATAAACTTGAGAAAAATAAGCCGACCGAAACTGGCCCTGAGGAGAATTTCAAAAGGTCCTGGATGACTCTAATGTTATAATTTCTCTTAACTTCAGGAAGGCAATCATTACATGGGGCATCCACCCTATAAAAAAATAAGTCAACACTGGATGCAATAGTATGCCTTAGTTCTGTATCTCTGACCTTATTGTATTTCTGCTTTATCATTTCTCCCTGGTTTTACATACCTAATTTTAAGCTTTCACCACTCATTTCATAAAAAGAAAATATATTCCAAAATGTACTACATATTTTTGACTGTCCGTCAAACTTTAGTTTCCACTTCTTAATTAATGTTTCTCTAGGACATTGAATGAGGTTTTATTCCAATTTACGTAATTATGAAGGGCTACCCATTAATTTATTATACAGTCTTCTGTTTTCCCATCAACCCTCACATTTCCTCAGACTTTACATACTTGGGCAGGTGTATTTGAATAAACTCAAATGAAGGTATTAAAGCAAAATTAGCATGTAAAATGCACTGTAATGCATTCTTTTGGTTTCAACTCCATATATGATAATCCCATTTGATGTAAAACCACAGACTCAAATTTGTCTTTAACATTTTTGTGACATAAGAAAGGCAGGTATCATTCCTGTTATTTTATAGATATAAATACTGAACTCCAGAGGGGTGAGTTTGCTTGAGATCACACAATTGGAACATAATGTAGCAGGATTCCCAATCAAGTAGAGTATGCTATTTTAAAACTTGGTAATTTTTTTTTTCATGTTCTCATTACATGGCAGAAAGTCCATTTGTCTGGTTTACATTTTTGGAAACAATAGGCTTTAATGTCTTCAATTATTTTATCTAAAAAATAATTGAACAATTGCTTTCTTATTTTCCTTGTGAGTTCACATCCGTCTCAGATCTAGAAATATTAGGGCAGCCTCCTAAGACCAAATATTCCCTTCTAGGAACCAAATCTGTAGTGCCTCTGCTGTCTTAGCCACACAAGGTGGTATACTGAGAATGAATAAAGATGAAACAATAATACTCATCCAGCCCAATAGGTCACACAAGAGCTAAAATTCACAACTCATCTGTATACATGTTTCATTTTAAAATTAACTCATTAACTCAATTTATGTAATATTCTAAATGTTTTGTTATCATTTCAACAATGTTCACAGAATCTTCATCGGGAGTAGATTCGATCTCAAGAAACTATTCTTTGCTCATTCCTAAGAAGCAACTCCTTATCCATTCAAGTTTGACCATGAGATTGCAGCAATTCAGCAACTTTGATTATTTTATTTTATTTTTTTGGTGGAGTTTTGCTCTTGTTGCCCAGGCTGGAGTGCTGTGGCACGATCTCGGCCCACTGCAACCTCCGCTTCCCGGGTTCAAGCGATTCTCCTGCCTCAGCCTCCTGAGTAGCTGGGATTATGGGCATGCACCACCACGCCCAGCTAATTTTTTGTATTTTTAGTAGAGACGGGGTTTCATCATATTGGCCAGGCTGGTCTTGAACTGCTGACCTCAGGTGATCCACCTGCCTTGGCCTCCCAAAGTGCAGGGACTACAGGCGTGAGCCACCGCGCCAGGCTGATGATTCCAATTTTGAAAGAAGTTGTACTGTGGGTAAAATGCAGTAAAATAGCACCATATGCTACAGAAAAATCTTTTGTGAAAAGAAGAGTCATTTAACGTGGCAAGTGATTGTTGCCTTATCTTAAGAAATTGCCACAGCCACCTCAGCCTTTGCAACCACCACTGTGATCAGTCAGCAGCTGTAACCTTGAGACAACCCTACACTAGCAAAAAGATGACCACTTGCTGAAGGCTCAGATGATCATTAGCATTGTTTAGTAATAAAGTATTTTTAAATTTTAAAAAATTAACTCATTACTAAAATAACAAAGCCAATAATAGCGTGTTCTAGTTACACTATATGTCTCATAAGTGCATAAAGATATAAAATAAAGCAAAATTTAAGGAAGTGTAAAAAGCACCTTATCTCATCAAGTCCACTGCTGCTGTGCTGTTGCTGACACGTCCTTGACTTTTTTCTCTACTCTTAGAATTCTCTACATTTTCTTTTACCTACACTACCTCCAGGTGTTGATCTGGCCTAGACTGTCTGAACTCTTCTGGCGAACTCTTCAAATCAGCAAAGCTTCCTCCTGCTGCCTGAACTACATTAATGATAGACTACGAGATTTCTTCCTGTTTTTACTCAACCCTCACCATATAGCTAGGCTCAAAAAGAAAAGCCTCCAACTACTTTTCTGTAACTTTTTTTAATTCATTACCTCTTTCACAATGGAAACAGAAATTAAAAATAGAAAAATTATTTTTCTGTCAACAGCCTTCCATCACAGCTCTCCTAAATATGTCTTCAATCTTAAATGATTTCCTTCCAATCAAAGAAAAGTCTCCTTAATAATAATAAATAGGCCACCTCCACAGGCTTTATTATGCCACAACAAGTTCCTGATTTAGGATATCATACCCTGATTTGAACTCACACTCCTTTCTTTCTACTTTTTTGAGTTTTTATTACATGCCAGACACTGCTAGGTTCTTAGATAGTGAATAGAAAAGACAAAGTTCCCCTTTTAGGAGTGTGTTATTTATGGGAGACTAATCTATAGGCAAAACAGATAATAGCTAAAGTGGAGGTTTCTACAAAGGTAACTTAGAACCAAAGGGAATAACTATTTGAGTTTTACTGTAGAAAATAATCAAGGAAACCAATTCAGAAAAAAAGGAACAATATGTCAATGTCAATAAGACTTATTCCAGCCGGGCATGGTGGTTCATGCCTATAATTCCAGCACTTTGAGAGGCCAAGGCAGGTGGATCATTTGAGGTCAGGAGTTCAAGACCAGCCTGGCCAACATAGTGAAACTCCATCTCTACAAAAAAAAAAAAAAATTTAGCTGGACACAGTGGTGCACACCTGTAATCCTAGCTACTCTGGAGGCTGAGGCAGAAGAATCACTTGAATCTGGGAGACAGAGGTTGCAGTGAGCCAAAATGGCACCACTGCTCTCCAGGCTGGGTGACAGAGTGAGACTCCATCTCGAGAAAAAAAAAAAAAGATTTACTCCTAAAACTCTAGGAATATCTATAAAATTATAGATTGGATAGTGGCTAGAGTATGAAGGGCAAAAGGCAGAAAAGTAGGAGGTCAAATTAGAAAAGTCGAGAAGGATTAGAGAACAAAATGCCTTGAATGTATTTCTACGTAGTTTTAATGTTTACCTATCATTCTTTCAAAAATATTGAGCATTTCTTATGTGCTAAGCACTATAGATGAAGGGTAAACAACTATAGGTTTTAGTCAAAGGAGCAGCCTGGTCAAATGTCCACTTTAGAAAGATTTTCTAGCAGCAGTGTGGAGGACTGAGCACACTGCAAAGAGATGGCAGGGAAAGTATAGCCACAGTGAGATGTGGTGGGGCTAGAAATTTAGAGATGTGGCAAGGGGATGGAGAGGAAGAGTGAGATTAGAGAAATGCATAGGAGCTGAATGAATAGGACTAGTGTTGATTTGGTTAAGAAAAAGTAGAAATTGAGGATGACTTAGATGCCATCTGACCTGGAGGTTTCTAAGTTTGGATAACCACATAGATAATGGTGTAATTTTCAATGCTATAAAGAACTCAAGAAGAGAAAGTTTGAGGTGGAAGGAGGAAAGAAAAAGAGAAAGATCCAGTGGTGGTATCTTGAAGGTAGTTTAATATGCAGCCCTGGAGGGCAGGGCAGAGATCTTGGTTGGAGATATAAACTTTGTCTTTAGTTGAAAGTTGAAGCTCTTGAATGTGGATGAGATGACCTGTAGTAAATGTATAGAGCATGAAAAGAAAGAGTTCCATGAAAAATGACATTTTAAAGATAGATGGAAAAGAAGGACCTATAAATATAAGAGAAGCAATAAAACCAAGTAATAAAACAGTTTTAGAAAAGTAGAACATGTCTAATTTTTAAGGCGATAGGTCAAATAAAATACACACTGAAAAGTGATTAATTTGGCAATTGGAGGTCATAAAAACAGGAACAGTATCGGAGGTCACCATAGTAGAAACTAAATACCAATGTGTTGAGAAAAGACTAAGAGAGAAAGAAATGGAGAATGCAAGGGGATACTATTCTTTCTAGCTTGCTTATGAAGTATGGTGGGGATGCTGGAGGAAGGATAAAGATTTATGGTCATAGAGAGAAAAGACTGCATGGCCAAGAAAGAGTTGTCATTGTTTTTGTTTCTTTCTTTTCAAATTAAGGATGAATTGGAATAAAAGTATGGTAAAGAAAAAAATCCAATGAGAAGGACAATTTGAAGATACAGGCAAGGGAGACTTTCACTGCTACTTAAGACAGAAAAAGTCCCAAGAAAATGTTTCTGTCACACCAAAAATAAAAGAATACTAGACAACCTACAAAATCATGGGTTTTTAAAAGCCTATTTGAGAGCTGAGGCCATAAAGAAACATAGATAAAAATCCAGAAATGATAATTCTCTCTTAGGAGAAAAGAAATCCACAGCTGCTTCCATCCTTGACAGAGCAGTAGAAGCAGGTAGAAATTGTGAGAAGGATACAACTGAATATCTATCTGATTTTCTAAGGCTAGGAATGGGCTGGCATGAAGATTTATAAGCTCAAGATCCTCCATACAAAAGAAGAAGAAGAAGAGAAAAATGGGGAAGAAGGAGGAGGAAGAGGAGAAAGAGAAGGATGAGAAGGAGGAGGAGCAGGAAAAGAAGGAGGAGGAGAAGGACGGAAGGACGAGGAGGAGGAGGATGAAGAAGGAGGAGGAGAAGGGGAGGAGGAGAAGAAGGAGAAGGAGGAGGAGGAGGTGGCAGTGGCAGCCAGGTGCGGTGTCTCACACCTGTAATCCCAGCACTTTGGGAGGCTGAGGTGGGTGGATCATGAGGTCAGGTGTTTGAGACCAGCCTGGCCAACATAGTGAAACCCCATTTCTACTAAAAATACAAAAATTAGCTGGGCGTGCACCTGTAATCCCAGCTACTCTAGAGGCTGAGGCAGGAGAATCGCTTGAAACCGCAAGGCAGAGGTTGCAGTGAGCTGAGATCCTGCCACTGAGCTTCAGCCTGGGCAACAAGAGTGATACTCCATCTCAAAAAAAAAAAAAGAAAGAAAAAGAAAAAGAAAAAAGGAGAGGAAGAAGAAGAGGAGGAGGAAGAGAAGGAGAAGGAAGAGAAGGAGGAGAAAGAGTCTTCACCTATCCACCAGTTATTTTCTATGAGCCTTTGCTAAGTGCTCATAAGAAAGATTAGGTGCAGGGCAAGAAAGCTAAGAGAAACTACCCATGCCCAAGGCACAAAGCACAGGACCTACTAAATACTAAGGGCAGAGCAGGAGAATGAGAAATATCACAGTATATTCTGGATCCTATACTGAGTGATTGGGGAAGAGACAGAAATTCTAAGAGAGATCACTTACCCTACATTGCAAATACACAGAAACTGCTGAAGGATTAGGGCAGGAAAACTGAGACAAACCTTCTAGGCACTGAAATCACAAGCTCCACTCAAGGGAAGGTTTTGATCTCGGCATCAGATATTTTGAGGAGAGTGGTGAGTTGAATCTACCTAATGTAACAATAAAACCCAGAAACAGGTGATCGAATGCTTATAGATTGAAACAAATTTGCCACTAATAACATGGCAGATGAAGGGATATACCTTTTTGTGGCGAACATATTTTTTATTTCAGTTTCTATTGTTCACTTAGTATTTCAACCTTCAATTTTAAAAGTTACAGATGAAAAGAACCAAGAAAATGTGATATATTGTCAAGATAGGAAGCAATCAATAGAACCAGACTCAGAGATAAATAAGATGCTGAAATTATCAGATAAGAACATTAAAATAACTATGAAAAATAAGTTAAAAGACCATGTTGAAAAAGGTAAACAACCTTCATAAGCAGATAATGAAACTTACAGAAAAGAGCCAAATGAACATTCCAAAAGTAAAAGTGCACATAGATCATGAAATAAGATACTGATAGACTGTATAATGGGCCTTAAAACAAGTTCTAATAAATTTCAAATAAATAATATAATACAGAGTATATTCTCTGATCCCAACTGTAGTAAACTAGAAATAAACAACAAAAAGATATCTAGTAAAATTCCCCGTATATTTGGAAATTCAAGAGCATATCTCTCAAAAACCCACAGGTCAAAAAAGAAATTTACAATACAATAAAGTAAATGATAATTAAAGCATAACATGTCTAAATTAATAGAAAAATAAGTACTTAGAAGAAAAAATATAGTTTTAAAATCTACATTGGGGATAGAGAGGGATATAAAATCAGTGTCATATGTTTCTACCTTGAATATTTTTTAAAATAAAGCAAATTAATTTCAAAGTAAGCAGAAGACAAGTGTAAGAAAGAGTCTTACTCTGTTTTTGATGTTTGACTGCTGAAAGCTTTCAAGCCTACCCCTTTTTTCTCCCCTGTTACGCCTCAGGTGGGCAAGACAATAAGAAACCCCAGGCATCCCCTCCCTTGGGGCCAGTGGGAAGTTCAAATTATGCAAGCACTTGTCACACATGGAAAATTTTACCCAAACTCCACTCCCTACTTACAAAAAAAGCCAATCCAGTCTCCTTTTCTGTATTAGTCTGTTCTCATATTGCTATAAAGAACTACCTGAGACTGGGTAATTTATAAAGAAATAAGATTTAATTGGCTCACACAGTTCCACAGGCTGTACAGGAAGCATGACTGGGGAGGCCTCAGGAAACTTACAATCATGGTGGAAGGTGAAAAGGAAGAAGGCATGTCTTCCATGGCTGGAGCAGGAGGAAGAGAGAAGGGGGAAGTGCTACAAATCACTAAACAACCAGATCTTGTGAGAATTTACTCACTATCATGAGAATAGCACCAAGGGTGAAGACTGCCCCCATAATCGAATCACTTTCCAGCAGGCCCCTCCTCCAACATTGGGGATTACAATTCAACACGAGATTTGGGTGGGGACACAAAGCCAAACCATATCATTCTGCCCTGCCCCTTCCCAAATCTCATGTCCTTCTCACATTGCAAAACACAATCAACCCTTCTTAACAGTCCCCCAGTCTTAACTCATTTCAGCATTAACTTAAAAGTCTAATTCCAAAGTCTCATCTGAGACCAGACAAGTCCCTTTCACCTGTGAGCCTGTAAAATCAAAACCAAGATAGTTACTTCCAAAATACTGGCATTGACTAAATACTCCCAATCCAAAGGGAGAAATACAGGCCCCATGCAAACCCAAAACCCAGGAGGGCTGTCATTAAATCTTAAAGATCCAAAATAATCTCCTTTGACTCCATGCCTCACATCCAGGCAACACTGATGCAAGGGGTGGGCTCCCAACACCTTGAGCTGCTCCACCTCTGTGACTTTGCAGGGTACATCCCCCACAGCTGCTTTCATGGCCTGGCATTGAGTGCTTGTGGCTTTTCCAGGTGCACGATGCAAACTGTTTATGGGTTTACCATTCTGGGGTCTGGAGGACAGTGGCCTTCTTCTTACAGCTCCACTAAGCAGTGCCACAGACAGGAGTCTATGTGGGAGCTCCAACATCACATTTCCCCTCTGCACTGCCCTAGTTGAGGTTCTCCATGAGGGCTCCATCCATGCAGCAGACTTCTGCCTGGACATCCAGGCATTTTCACACAGCCTCTGAAGTCTAGATGGAGGCTTTCACTCTGCACACCTGCAGGCTTAACACTACATGATGGTCCCAAGACTTATGGCTTACACCCTCTGAAGCAACAGCCTGAGCTGTACCTTGGCCCTTTTTAGCCACACCTGGAGCTGAAGCAGCCTCAATGCGGGGTGACATGTCCTCAGGTTGCCACAGCAGCAAGGTCCTGGCCCTAGCCCACAAAACCATTTTTCTCTCCTAGGCCTCCAGGCTTGTGATATGAGGGGTTGCCACAAAAGTCTCTTAAAAGCCTTAGAGGCATTTTCCTCATTACATTGACTATCAACATTTGGCTCCTCTTTACATAGGCAAATTTCTGTAGCCACCTTGAATACTCCCCAGAAAATGGACTTTTCTTTTCTACCACTTGGCTGGGCTGCAAATTTTCCAAACTTTTACACTCTGCTTTCCTTTTACATATATGTTCCAGTTTCAGATCTCTTTTTTCACATGTAACAAATGTGACCTGGCTCCAGTTTGTAGTAAGTTCCTCAACTCCATCTGAGACCTCCTCAGCCTGAATTTCATTATCCATATCACTATCAGCACTTTGATCACAACAGTTTATCAGGTCACTATGAAGTTCCAAACTTTCCCTCACCCTGTTGTCTTCTGAGTCCTCCAAACTGGTCCAGCTTCTGCCCAGTTCCAAAGTTGCTTCCACATTTTCAGGTATAGGTATTGCAATGCCCTACTCCTAACTACCAATTTTCTGTATTAGTTCATTCTTGCATTGCAATAAAGAACTACCTGAGATTGGGTAATTTATAAAGAAAAGAGGTTTGATTTGCTCATTGTTTCATAGCTGTACAGGAAGCATGGCTGGGGAAGCCTCAGAAAACTTATAATCATGGCAGAAGGCAAAAAGGAAGGAGGCATGCCTTACATGGCTGGAGCAGGAGGAAGAGAGTGGGGGGAGGTGCCACACACTTTTAAACAACCAGATCTTGTGAGAACTCATTCACTATCAGGAGAACAGCAAGGGAGAAGTCTGCCCCTATGATCCAGTCGCCTCCCACCAACATTGGGGATTACAACTTGACATGAGATTTGGGCAGGGACACAAATCTAAACCACATCACCTTCCTTCTCTCTCAAGCCATTTTTGGATGTGCTTGTGAGCCTGTCCTCTCTCCCCAGAAAGCCTTATTATGTGAATAATAAACGTTTTCATACCCGTTGGTGTGTGTATGTGGCATCACGCAGTCTCAATATCTGAAGTAAATCTGGGTGGCAGGTTTCTACTGTACATCCACCAAGTGGCACAACAGCAAATAATGAAGACAAGGGCAGAAATTAATTAAATAGAAAATGAATAGACAATATACAAAACCAAAACAGTTTTTTAAAGTTACTGAAAATATTATGAAGATAAGAAAAAAAGAATGGGCCAGGTGCGGTGGCTCCCACCTGTAATCCCAGCACTTTGGGAGGCCGAGGTGGGTGGATCACCTGTCAGGATTTCAAGACCAGCCTGGCCAGCGTGGTGAAACCCAGTCTCTACTAAAAATTCAAAAATTAGCCAGGTGTGGTGGCATGTGCCTGTAATCCCAGCTACTCGGGAGGCTGAAGCAGGAGAATTGCTTGAATCCAGGAGATGGAGATTGCAGTGAGTCAAGATCATGCCACTGCACTCCAGCCAGGGATACAGAATAAGACTGCATCTCAAAAAAAAGGAAAATAAAACAAAAAAGAAGTAACAACTGGTTTAGAATGGCACATGAGGAAAATGGGGAATTCGAAAAGTGGTGGAGAGTTATGAAACAGAGTAAGAAAGGCTGAATTTGTTTCAGGATCAGGGATACTTCTTCCATTGGAAAATATTCCTTGCTTTTCTTTTCTCTCTATAAATGTTTTACAATATAATATATACATTGAGTCAAAATAACTTTAATTAATTATACAGTGCTTCATAGATATAATCATAGTATTTAAATCATTGGTCCCTGACCACAGAAAGAGCCAAATTCCCTTCCAACAACTCTTTCGGCCACCACCAAAGAGCCATTTCAGAGTCATCTACAAGGCTGTTCAACCTATACTCCCCTAATATTTTTAAATTGACCATTGTGTCACTCCTACACTGGCAGGACCCTCTTACAAGGGGAGAATCAGTGCAATAGCGACCATCTATTAACAGTGCAAGAAAGCCTGTTCCCGCACCTTAACATGCATGTTAGGTGGTTTTAATGCTCAAAAAATTTAAGAAATACTGATGTAAAGGATAATTAACCCAAAAGAAAGAAATCCACACCAAGAAATAATTATATTACCCATAATATAGATTTGGGGGTTACCTGCTATGTTTTTAATAATGATTGTATTTAAGTATAAGGTAGTATCATTGAAATTTTAGAACTGAAAAGAATCTTAGTAATGATCAAATTCTGCCCTCTATGCAAATGTGAAGGCCAAAGCTCAGATTGCTTGCATATTTTGCCCAAGTAACATGCAGTTCCTCAGAGCTTTGGGACCCAGAACTCAGATCTCTTAACCCCTGGAGGTAGAGTTTTCATCCCCTAGATCATGTTTACTTTTCAAAATATAAAAAGGTTGACTCGCACCAACTACAATTAGAATATTTTACTTGTGATTTTATGCTGCCACAAATAATGGAATTGAAACCAAATAAACACTAAATTAACTAAAGAACTGAAAAATAAGATATTTATCCATGTAATTGGCAGCTAAGCACTGCTGGAAATCATATGGTCCATCAAAAGAGAGCTTTTGGCAGCCTGAAGGGAAGATATCAACTTTTTTCACCTTCTGTAAGGTAACACTGAGTATAAATATACCAAATCTTTACTTAATAGGACACATGCAAAGCTTTAACTCATGAGCTGCTACCTTTTTATTTTCATTTTCTGGCTTTCCACCAAAGGAATGTGTGGAAGATGGCTATTAGAGTCATTTGCTCTGCCTAGGGGCTAATTACTCTATTTGGTTCATTTTTGAAAATATTATGTTTCATCCAAGGGCAAAAAATTGATGAAGACTTGTTTCAGGTTTGCTTATGTAATTTTGCACAGATTAAATTAGTTAATCGGAAATTATGCTAGCTACAAGAGATCAGTTGGTTTCTAAATCTACAGTAGAAAATTGCTTTTTAAAAAATAATTTGAATGGCATGCTGCTTAAATCTAGTTTAGTCAATTCTCTCAGATGTGAGACTTAAGTTTTAATGACCCTAAAGGAAAACTGTGAGGAATGAAAGAATCCACAGATAAAATATTGGAAAGAGTATTCATGTGTGACCCCCTAGAACAAAATGCTACAGGGTCAAAGAATGGAGATATGGTTTGGCTCTGTGGCCTCACTGAATCTCATCTTGTAGCTCCTATAATTCCCACGTGTTGTGGGAGATAGAGGGTGGGAGATGACTGAATCATGGGGGTGGGTCTTTCCCCTGCTGCTGTCGTGATAGTGAATGGGTCTCGTGAGATCTGATGGTTTAAAAAAACAAGAGTTTCTCTGCACAAGCTCTCTGCCTGCTGCTATTCACATAAGATGTGACTTGCTCCTCCTTGCCTTCTGCCATGATTGTGAGACCTCCTGAGCCATGTGGAACTATAAGTCCAATAAACCTCTTTCTTTTGTAAATTGCCCAGTCTCCAGTATGTCTTTATCAGCAGCGTGAAAATGGACTAATACAAATGGGATAAGTGAAACTCTGAGGAATCCAGGAAAGAGGTAAGGGGCACCTGGGGATTCCAGGTGAAATATCAGGAGAGAATAACAACCTCTAAGCTTCAATTTCTTCATCTGAAATGGCAGGATCATTATATCCACCTCCCATGGTTTCATGCAAAAAAAATTAATGAAGTGACATGAAAATTCCTGTCCCAATGTCTGGCACATGATAGTTACTCAATACATTTAAGCTCAAGTAAATTAAATATTATGGTTTATCTATCTACCTCTCGTATATAATCTTGTCAGTGAGAATTTTTTATGACTCCTCAGAGTTTGAGAAGCAGAGACTCTCACAGCACTGTTTGCATTATGATGAGAAAATGGCTGATAATTATTGTTTTGAGCCTGCAGATGCCTTAAAAAGCCGTTCATTACATCATTTTAAAAAAAAACTTCTAGAAACCAGGAATAGAGGCACTAGAGCAGTGGTTCTCAATTCTTGATGTGTATTGGAGCTTCTAAAAATTACTGATGGCCAGGTCCCACTTATCTGTCCCCCTCAGAAATGGACTTAATTCATCCCCAGGTAATTCTAATGTTCTGTCAACAGTGAGCCCTGGAGAATTAGATGGTCTAACCTGACAGATATTCGAAAATAAATTAATATATGGTAATCAAAACAAAAGTGTTTATGTTTACTTGTAATTGTGAGCAAGACCAAACATTTAAAAATACGAGAGAATTATATAATGATATCACTATATACTCATTATCTAAATGTAATAATTAAACTTGACCATATTTGTGCTATAGATAGATAGATATTAAAAAGCTGAAAAAGCTTCAAATAAATCACAGACTTTAACATTTAACCATGAAATATTTCAGTATCCATCTCTTATAAAGGAGGCATTTTCTTCAAAGCCATAATATTGTTATCACACCTCAAAATTTAGTACTTATGGGGGGATTTTTTTTAAATTTTTTAAATTTTACTTTAAGTTCCAGGATACATGTGCAGAATGTGCAGGTTTGTTACATAGGCATACGTGTGCCATGGTGGTTTGCTGCACCTATCAACCCATCATCTAGGTTTGGTTTGGTTTGGTTTGGTTGGTTGGTTTGTTTTTGAGACAGAGTCTTGCTCTGTCACCAGGCTGGAGTGCAGGGGTGCGATCTCGGCTCACTGCAACCTCCGCCTCTCAGGTTCAAGCGATTCTCCTGCCTCAGCCTCTGAAATAGCTGGGATTACAGGTGGCCACCACCACACCTGGCTAGCTTTTGTATTTTAGTAGAGATGGGGTTTCACCATGTTGTCCAGGATGGTCTCGATCTCCTGACCTCGTGATCCGCCCGCCTTGGCCTCCCAAAGTGCTAAGATTACAGGCGTGACATCAGCATGGTTTTAAGCCCCGCATAAGCCCCACATCCCCGCATTCCCTCCCCTTGTCCCCACACCCCCCACACATAGGCCCCGTTGTGTTTTTCCCCTCCCCGCATTCATGTGTTCTCATTCTTCAACTCCCACTTATGAGTGAGAATATGCGCTACTTGATTTTCTATTCCAGTGTTAGTTTGCTGAGAATGATGGCTTCCAACTTCATCCATGTCCCTGTAAAGGACATGATCTCATTCTTTTTCATGCCTGCATAGTATTCCACGGAATATATGTGCCACATTTTCTTTATCCAGTCTCTCATTGATAGGCATTTGGGTTGGTTCCAAGTCTTTGCTATTGTAAATAGTGCTGCAGTATACACACGTGTGCATGTGTTTTTATACTAGAATGATTTATAATCCTTTGGGTGTAAACCCAGTAATGGGATTGCTGGGTCAAATGGTATTTCTGGTTCTAGATCCTTGAGGAATCGCCACACTATCTTCCACAATGGTTGAACTAATTTACACTCCCATCAACAGTGTAAAAACATTATTATTTCCCCACAGCCTCGCTAGCATCTATTGTTTCCTGACTTTTTAATAATCACCATTCTGACTGGCATGAGATGGTATCTCATTCTGGTTTTGATTTGCGTTTCTCTAGTGATCAGTGATGATGAGCTTTTTTTCATGAATTTGTTGGCTGCATAAATGTCTTCTTTGGAGAAGGGTCTGTTCATATCCTTTATCCACTTTTTGATGGGGTTGTTCATTTTTTTCTTCTAAATTTGTTTGAGTTCTTTGTAGATTCTGGATATTAGACCTTTGTCAGACGGATAGATTACAAAAATTTTCTCCCTTTCTGTAGGTTGCCTGTTCACTCGGATGCTAGTTTCTTTTGCTGTGCAGAAGCTCAGTTAGTTTAATTAGATCACGTTTGTCAATTTTGGCTTTTGTTGCAATTGCTTTTGGTGTTTTAGTCATGAAGTCTTTGCCCATGCCTATGTCCTGATCTTGGGCAAACCTGACAAAAACAAGCAATGGGGAAAGGATTCCATATTCAACAAATGGTGCTGGGAAAACTGGCTAGCCATATGCAGAAAACTGAAACTGGACCCCTTCCTTACACATTATACAAAAATTAACTCAAGGTGGATTAAAGGCTTAAATGTAAAACCGAAAACCGTACTTACGTTTTTTAAAGACTTTATTATATATTTTAGAGCAGTTTTAGTTTCATAGAAAAATTGAACAGATAATACAGGGAGTTCCCATATAGTCCCTACCAATCCCTGCCCCTCAGCATTCCCCACTATCAACATTCTACACCAGAGTGGTACATTTGTTAAGGTTAATGAGCCTACACTGACACATCATTATCACTCAATGTCCATAGTCTACATTACAGTGTCCATTCTTGGGGTTGTACATTCTATGGATATGAACAAATGTATAATAACCCATACCCAACACAGTATTATTCAAAGTACTTTCACTGCACTGAAAAATCATCTGTGCTCCACCTGTTCATTCCTCCCTCTCCCCCAACCCCTGGCAAACACTGATCTCTTTACTGTCTCCATCGTTTTGCCTTTTCTGGACTGTCATATAATTGGAATCATAAATTATGTAGATTTTTTATATTAAATTTTTTCAGTGCTAAATAATATTCCACTGTCTTGATGCATTAATATTATACCACAGCTTATTTGTCCATTCACCTATTAATGGGCATCCCGATTGCCTCCAAGTTTTGGCACTTTTGAATAAAGCTGCTATAAACATCTATGCTGAAGTTTTTCTATAAACATAAATGTTTAATTCATTTAAATAAATACCAAGCAGTATAATAGCTCTATCATATGATAAGAGTATGTTTAATTTGTAAGAAATTGCCAACATATCTTCCAAAGTAGCTGTACCATTTTGAATGCCTACCAGCAATAAATGACACTTCCTGTTGCTTCTCACCCTCACCAGCATTTGGTATTGTCAGTGTTATATTGGATTTTCACCATTCTAATAGGTGTATGGTGGTATTTCAGTGTTGTTTTAATTTGCAATTCCCTAATGACGTATGATATTGAACATCTTTTCACATACCCATCTGGTTATTTGTTTTCTTATTGTTGAGTTTTAAGAGTTCTTTTTATGTTTTGGATAACAGTCCTTCATCAGATATACCTTGTGCAAATATTTTCTCCCAGTCTGTGGCTTGTCTTCTCATTCTCTTGAGTCTTTTGCAGAGCAGATTTTGTTTCAATGAAGTCCAGTTTAGCAGTTATTTGTTTCATAGACTGCGCCTTTGGTGTTGTGTCTCAAAAATCATCATCATACTTAAGGTCATCTAGATTTTCTCCAATTTTATCTTCCAGAAGAGTTATAGTTTTGTGTTTTACATTTATGTTTATAATGCATTCTTCAGTTAATTTTGGAGATGAGCCCAAAGTCTGTGTCTAGGTTCATTTTTCTGTTTTTTGCATGTGGATGGTGTCCAGTTGTCTTACCACCATTTGCTAAAAAATATATATATTTCTTTCACTGCATTGCCTCTGCTCCTTTGTCAAAAAAATCAATTGACTATATTTGTGTGGATCTATTTTTAGGCTCCCTATTCTGTTTCATTGATCAGTTTGTGTATTATTTCACCAATATCACACTGTCTTGATTACTCTGGCAGCATTAATTTGTTTTCTATATTTTATAATCCTTTTTCATATTTAAGAGTTTCCCTAATTATTCAAAAAAAGTCCTTGGAGAAAATTGTTGTTGGTTTTCTTGAGATAATTATTGGTGGGCCAATGTTAAGAACCTATTAAAGAAAACTTACAATGGAAGAATGACAATAAATTCCAAAACTTTCATAAACATATTCCACTCTGTAAGAGTCCTAAAGATATACTGAATAAATTTAGCCAACCATAGGAAAGGATCTTGAGGAAATAACCACTCCAGTGATAATTTTTAAAAAATAAATCAATATGAGGTAAAGATAATCAGGGCTTCTCTATATTATGTTTGCAATTTCCTGTCAATTAAATCTAAACTCCTGCCTCATATATTGTAGATCTTATATTGTCATCTCATTTACAATTAGTACATTCTAAATATATATGAGTTTAGGAATTCCTGTTCTTGGCAGGATAGTACTTTTTGCATAACATCTCAAATCTTTGTGAGAATTAAATACATTACTAAACATAAAGCACTTAAAACAATGCCTGGCACATAGTAAGTTCTACAGAAGTATTAACTATTATTATAAGACAGGAAGAGGTCTTCAATATGTATAAGAATATCTCAGTAGATGCAGAAAAGGCCTTTGACAAAATTCAACAGCTCTTCATGCTAAAAACTCTCAATAAATTAGGTATTGATGGGACGTATCTCAAAATAATAAGAGCTATTTATGACAGACCCACAGCCAACATCATACTGAATGGGCAAAAACTGGAAGCATTCCCTTTGAAAACTGGCACAACACAGGGATGCCCTCTCTCACCACTCCTGTTCAACATAGTGTTGGAAGTTCTGGCCAGGGAAATCAGGCAGGAGAAAGAAATAAAGGGTATTCAATTAGGAAAAGAGGAAGTCAAATTGTTTGCAGATGACATGATTGTATATTTAGAAAAACCCATCGTCTCAGCCTGAAATCTCCTTAAGGTGACAAGCAACTTCAGCAAGGTCCCAGGATACAAAATCAATGTGCAAAAATCACAAGCATTCTTACACACCAATAACAGACAAACAGAGAGCCAAATTATGAGTGAACTCCAATTCACAATGGCTTCAAAGAGAATAAAATACCTAGGAATCCAACTTACAAGGGATGTGAAGGACCTCTTCAGGGAGAACTACAAACCTCTGCTCAACGAAATAAAAGAGGACACAAACAAATAGAAGAACATTCCATGCTCATGGATAGGAAAAATCAGTATCGTGAAAATGGCCATACTGCCCAAGGTAATTTATAGACTCAATGCCATCCCCATCAAGCTACCAATGACTTTCTTCACAGAATTGGAAAAAACTACTTTAAAGTTCATATGGAACCAAAAAAGAGCCTACATCGCCAAGTCAATCCTCAGCCAAAAGAACGAAGCTGGAAGCATCACGCTACCTGACTTCAAACTATACTACAAGGCTACAGTAACCAAAACAGCATAGTACTGGTACCAAAACAGAGATATAGACCAATGGAACAGAACAGAGCCCTCAGAAATAATACCACACATCTACAACCATCTGATCTTTGACAAACCTGACAAAAACAGGAAAAGGGGAAATGATTCCCTATTTGATAAATGGTGCTGGGAAAACTGGCTAGCCATATGTAGAAAGCTGAAACTGGATCCCTTCCCTACACCTTATACAAAAATTAATTCAAGATGGATTAAAGACTTAAATCTTAGACCTAAAACCATAAAAACCCTGGAAGAAAACCTAGGCAATACCATTCAGGACACAGGCATGGGCAAGAACCTCATGTCTAAAACACCAAAAGCAATGGCAACAAAAGCCAAAATTGACAAATGGGATCTCATTAAACTAAAGAGCTTCTGCACAGCAAAAGAAACTACCATCAGAGTGAACAGGCAACCTATAGAATGGGAGAAAATTTTTGCAATCTACTCATTTGACAAAGGGCTAATATCCAGAATCTACAAAGAACTCAAACAAACTTACAAGAAAAAAACAAACAACCGCATGAAAAAGTGGACGAGGGATATGAACAGACACTTCTCAAAAGAAGACATTTATGCAGCCAAAAAACACATGAAAAAATGCTCATCATCACTGGCCATCAAAGAAATGCAAATCAAAACCACAATGATTTTAGAATGGCGATCATTAAAAAGTCAGGAAACAACAGGTGCTGGAGAGGATGTGGAGAAATAGGAACACTTTTACACTGTTGGTGGGACTGTAAACTAGTTCAGCCATTGTGGAAGACAGTGTGGCGATTCCTCAAGGATCTGGAACTAGAAATACCACTTGACCCAGCCATCCCAGTACTGGGTATATACCCAAAGGATTATAAATCATGCTGCCATAAAGACACATGCACATGTATGTTTATTGTGGCACTATTCACAATAGCAAAGACTTGGTACCAACCCAAATGTCCATCAATGATAGACTGAATTAAGAAAATGTGGAACATATACACCATGAAATACTATGCAGCCATAAAAAACAATGAGTTCATGTCCTTTGTAGAGACATGGATGAAGTTGGAAACCATCATTCTCAAAAAACTATCGCAAGGACAAAAAAACCAAACACCACATGTTCTCACTCATAGGTGGGAACTGAACAATGAGAACACTAGGACACAGGAAGTGGAACATGACACACCGGGGCCTGTCATGGGGTGGGAGGAGTGGGGAGGGATAGCATTAGGAGATATACCTAATGTAAATGACGAGTTAATGGGTGCAGCACACCAACATGGCACATGTATACATATGTAACAAACCTGCACATTGTGCACATGTACCCTAGAACTTAAAAGTATAATAAAAAAAAAGAATATCTTAGAGGGTTCATGTTAAATCATACATTCTAGGGCTCCTATCACTACTGAGATTATGAGACAGTAAATATGTGTTTATACTCAGGAACATGCATTTTAATTAGCACCTTAGTTATTCTGACAGAGGTTGATGGATGACATTTAACTGGAAGTGGCACTGGACTTCATCTGAGGAACACCAGAGATAATAATAGGAGAGCCATGGTATACCATAAAAACAAAACAGTATGAGAAACGAAAACCCTCAGCCAAATAACAGAGAGATCAATGGGCAATCTTGAAGATCTACTACATACAGAACTGTTACTTATATACTAGGGTATGGGGAACGGGGACACAGACATAAAATACGAAGTTCTCTCTCTCTCTCTCATTCTGTGTGTGTGTATGTGTGTATGTGTATGTGTGTGTGTGTGTGTGTGTGTGCATGAGCAAACAATGTAATCTCTGCCCTTATAGACTCTGTCACTCCACAGGGGTCTCTAGGCATTAACCTTTGAAAACTTAAGTAACCATAACAGAGTAAAGGGGTAATGAAAAATAATCATTTTAAAAAATAAATTTTTATTTTTCTACTAAACCTCACAATGAGTTATTTCCTTAGACACTTGTTTGGAAAAGCATGTGCTTTGCTATCTTCTGACTGTCATTTCTGACTGGAGCTGAGTTGGCTTTTGAATAAATAATAATAACAATATTACCGGGTCTATGCTCTTAACCTATATTCATATGGAAATTGCAGTGAAGTAGAGTACAGTATCTCTTTTACAATGTTCTCCAAAATCAATGGACGACCAGGCAGATTTACGTTTAATTGACTAAACATATATAGATGTGGAGATATAGATAGATAAATAGATAGAGAGATAGATAGGTATAGAGCCATATAGATATATGCTTATATATATACATATAATTACTTTTGCCTTTTCTTCTATTGGTAATTAAATTATTTCATAGGAAATGTACACCATTTCTTCACATAAAAGATACAAAAAAAGAAGTTCTTAAGGAAATGTCCCAATATTAAGTGATTCTAATGAGAAGTTGTAAACAGCTCTTCATTACTAAACAGAAGAAATAATTAAAAATAAAAAATAAATGAAAATGTTTTTTAAAGCAACATTCTGATCATAGTTTTCCCGAAATTTCTCAGAAGCTACTGGTTTATGTTGAGCACTGTTCATCTTTGCCCTAATTATCTCTGGTTTTTACATCATATTTCTGATTCTGACATCAAATCATTGAGGGACCTTGGGAGAGCTTCTTGCAAACACCTCAGTTTCTTTGTTTAAAAATAAAGGTAGTAATTCTTGACACTGTTATATTTCACGGAGGTATTTCAAAGATTAATGAGCCACAAAAACTCCGAGTTGCTCTGATCAAAGGCACTGTATAACTACAAAGGCTTGTTATTATTTACCAGTAGCTCCTTTTTATTGTGCCACTAATGAACATTGTGGTCGGCAATAACATTAAAGAAAAAAATGAAAAGTGAAAGTTAAGGAGGCTGTTTCTCTTCATATTCAAATATAATTCTTGTTAATATTAATTGGTGTTATGCAGACATTTTGAAAATTGGCTTCCTGCAGCCTACCAGATTCTGTTGTAGAATTCTATAAATATACTCAACATCCTGGGTTAGAAGATTGAGCATACTGGGAGTTTTCCTTGGATTTGTGCAAATTCTACATGGAACTCACATTTTAACAGACATGGAGACGAGACACAGCGTCAAAGCCTTTGCAGTGAGATTATTTTCTCAAATATCTCCTTTTTTATTTTTCATGATCCTCAAGCAATTTTACTGACAAATTCTCTCTCTCTCATATATTCAGACATAGACACACAAACAGACACACATACACACACACACGTTTCACCTCATTTTTCTTTGAAAACGAAGTTAATCAAAACTATTATTTAGAGAAGCTAAGAATTGAATCATTGGTTTTGTTGAAAATTTTCAATCAGGGGAATAAAAATTTATTCTCTGTTTCTTCTCAAACTATTTTCCATTATACCATCATATACTCTGGCACATTAAACACTCAATGTGAGCAATCCAAATAGTAGCAATGGTAAATATTTAGTACATGTTTGAAAATAGTTCACCTTTTCCAAATTGATAAATGAAACAATCATTGTGGTACAAATCAGCTTTCAAATGATTGAAACAATTTATAAATATTAGTGATAAAATAAGTAGTTTTATTTTACTTTGTCCTTCCTAAACGTGCATGTCAAAAAATTCCAGGAATATTCAGAAGCACTTTAGGTCTTTGATAGCAAGAAGGAGTACAACTTCACAAGGTTTTGGCAGTCCACCCATCTCTGAGCAGTATTCTTTCTCAGCCTCAGGCTTCTTTGCTATCCAACGCCCTATCTTAAAATAAACAAAGCACTCAGCAACTAGAAGCACTTCAGCTGAAATGCTTGTGAAACAAGTACATCATTCAGTACTCAGGGTAAATAAATTTTTCATGAGCTAAGATCTATGTAGAAAAGTTTTCACTAAAATCTAGTGTTTTTTAAGGAAGAGTGCTATGGACTGAATTTTGCTCCTCCAAAATTCATATGTTGAAGCCCTAACCTCCAATGCAGTCGTATGTGGAGATGAGGCCTTTGGGAGATAATTAGGTTTAGATGAGATCATGAGGGTTTGTCTTTATGAGAAGAGACACCACAGGACTTGCTCCCTTTCTCTCCCCACCACATGAAGATAGCCATCTACCCGCAACAAAGAGAGCCCTCACCAGAAACTCACCATGCAGGTACCCTGATCTTGGACTTCCAGCCTCCAGAACTATTGTTTAAGGCCCCCAGTCTGTGGAATTTTGTTATGGTAGCCCAAGGTGATGAATACAAAGAGCAGTATCAACAATGTCATAATAACAACATAGAGACTGGTGGTTCACTTTGTTGAGTTATAACATTTGAAAACTCTAAGTGAATTCATAACTTTGCAAAGATATAAGTATGTAAGTAAATGGCTCATATTTTCTGCAATTATTTCTTTATTCAGTACATTAGATATCAAACACTTGATACATAACAATAAATATTTGCAATTATTTCTGCAAAATGACAGTAAGATATGACCAGCTAGACTTTACATAGAAGCAATGTGTTTTTTTAAATGTGGCAAACAGTTTGGGAATCATAGTCTTTTTCAAAGTAGGGGAATGTATATAAGGTATAAACTCAATGGTAGGTAAGGAAAGGAGGTCAGTCAAAATTTTCTAATGGTCTGTATTTTTGAAAATAAAGGAATGGAGAAGTGATATCAGCAAATGGTGAAACAGAAATTATCTGGCTTCATGCCCCCAGCAGAAATCCATCTAGCAACTATCCACAGACAAGAATACCATTATGAATATCCCAGAACTCAGGTATAAGGCTGAGACATCCCCTTAGACAGCAGAACCAAGAAAGCCACAATCAAATGGCAAAACAAATGGTTCTCTTTGGCCGCGCCACTCCTCCCCCAGGCTGGCACAGCACTACATACAGAGAATTTCTCTGGATTCACAGTCTTATTATTATTATTATTATATTTTAAGTTCTAGGGTACATGTGCACAACATGCAGGTTTGTTACACAGGTATACATGTGCCATGTTGGTTTGCTGCACCCATCAACTCATCATTTACATTAGGTATTTCTCCTAATGCTATCCGTCCCAAGCCCCCCACCCCCGAACAGGCCCCAGTATGTGATGTTCCCCTTGCTGCATCCATGTGTTCTCATTGTTCAACTCACACTTATGAGTGAGAACGTGCAGTGTTTGGTTTTCTGTCCTTGGAATATTTTGTTGAGAATGATGGTTTCCAGCTTCATCCATGTCCCTGCAAAGGACATGAACCCATCCTTTTTAATGGCTGCATAGTATTCCACGGTGTTTATGTGCCACATTTTCTTTATCTAGTCTATTATTGATGGACATTTGGGTTGGTTCCAAGTCTTTGCTATTGTGAATAGTGCTGTAATAAACATACGTGTGCATGTGTCTTTATAGTAGCATGATTTATAATCCTTTGGATATATACCCAGTAATGGGATTGCTGGGTCAAATAGTATTTCTTGCTCTAGATCCATGAGGAATCACCACACTGTCTTCCACAATGGTTGAACTAATTTACACTCCCACCAACAGCGTAAAAGCATTCCTATTTCTCCACATCCTCTCCAGCACTTGTGGTTTCCTGACTTTTGAATGATCGCCTTTCTAACTGGCATGTGAACTCACAGTTTCTACAGAAAGAACTGTGTCTTATCCATGAGATGAGTCAAAGTGACCCTCCTGCAAAGTGACCCTTTGTAAAAGCCATGTAAAACATTGAGAATACTGCCAGGGATAAACCACCTGGAAACAAAGAACAAGGGTGGGTCTCATGATGACCAGCATGCAGATTTTGATGGTTGCTCTGCATTCCAGCCAATGGAGGCACCACACCAGAGAAAACAGCCAACAGCATCATGTTGGAGGAAACAAGGTCCATAGATCTAACAAGCTTGAATTCCTAGCCAGCTTCCTTATGCAACCTGGCTAATCTTGCTAAGTCTTCCCCAGGTCAAAGGGCAACTTCTGGTCTTTTTCTCTCTTTTCCAGCATCTACCCCTGTCCAAACCTTCCCAAGCAGTGGAGAGATGATCCAACTAAGTCTTAGTGGTCTTGTTAAGTCTCTTCCAAGTCAAGAGGCAACTGCAGGTTAGTGAGTACTCTTGGAAGTATTATAGAATCTGCCCCCCCGCCCCCATTTCCCAGCTGCTGGGTGATAACTGCATCAAACCTCAGTACTCTGTTTCAGCCTATCCTAGTTCTGGAGGCAAGCCCAAGTCCACATATATCTGTGGAACACAGCCTCTGACCCTACTCACTCTGTGTGGCCAAGCAGCAACCCCAGAATCCTCATGTAGACTCAAAGCCCATCCCACAGCCCTGCCCAACTACAGATTACAAACGGCAGTACTAGCCAGCCAAGGAAAATGACCTGATCAGAGAAGATTGCAGAGCCTAGCCAGTAGTCTCACCTAACTACAAAGCACAGCATTCAGTACCATTCAACCTCAGAGCAGATAAAGCAACCCAGCCCAACTTGAGAACCCAACGCTAAGGTCTGACTCTCTGAGATTTTACCAGCTGGCCCATCTAGAATCCCATGCTAGACTAAATACTAAAGGTCTATCACCATTAAAGAATACCTGCAAAGGCCAAAGAGGTGGCTACCTCCTCAAATGTACGTTTGTCAAGATATAAATAAAAGGATTATAAAAAATCAGTGAGTTATGACATCACCAAAATAAACTAGTAAAGTTCCAGTAATTGAAACCAGCTTTGTAAAATTATGACAGTAGAGAAATCTGACATAACTGACTCCATATTGCTTCTAGCACCACAGGTTGGCTATCTTTGCTCTTTCTAGGCATAGGCAAGCTAATTTTGGGAGAAATTTTGTTTATAGTTTAAATGATAACAGCCCTTCTCCAAAACTTAACTGTTGTTCTGAAATTAATGAAAGGCCACCAAGTGACTAGGATGCAAGGGGCTTGAATTCTAAATAATTACCAGCCATTGTTCCAGAGGTCATAAGATTTGCAACTTCACCAACTACTCTTGCATATAATATCACTATTGTAGAAGCTAAGATTGGCCTTTTGAGATATCTTTTCAGGTTTTTGCATTTCTGACAATCAAACGACCTCACTTGGACCTACCAACCAGTCCTGTGGCCCCCACCCAGGAACTGACTTTTGCACAAGAGGCAGCAATGATTCCCTATCATTTCATCTCTAACTCAACCAATCAGCATATCCCCTACCCTAGCCCCCTGACCACCAACCTATCTTTGAAAAACCCCTAACCTATAAGCCTTTGGGAAGAGTGTTTTCAGTAATAACTCCATCTTCCATGTGGCGTGGCCACCCTTGCATCAATTATACTCTTCCTTTACTGCAGTGCCTTAGTCTCAGTGAGTCAATTTTGTTTGTGCAGTGGGCAGGAAAAACCCATAGTGTGGTTATATAATGAACCCAGAAAAAAGTGAAGATCCATGAAATGACTAACAAAGAAGTTCAGAGAACTACCAAAAAATACAAATACAAAATTAAATAAAATTTGGAAAACATTCATAGACAAAATAAGAAGTTTAATGAATATAAACAATTTTAAAAATTTGAAATCTTAGAGGTAAAGAATATAATAATTAAACTGAAACATTCAATAGAAAACTTCAACAGCTGACTTTATCAAGCACTGATGCTTTCTTGAATCAGTGAGCTCAAAGACAGGACATTTGAAATTATCCAATTAGCAGGGCAAAAAGAAAAGAAGTATTAAAAAGAATAAGGAAGGCATAAAAGAATTATGAGACACCATCAAGTAATTAACCTTTGCATAAGAATTCCTGAAGGAAGAAAGACAGAAAACGGCCTTGAAAACATTTAAGAAAATAATGGCAGAAAACTTCCCAAATCTTGGGAAAGAAGACAACATGCAGATATTAAAAACCCAGAGGTTTCCAATCAAATTCAATCCAGGAGGAGTTTCCAACACACGTCATAATACAATTATCAAAAATCAAAGACAAAGAAATGTGTCTCACATTCAACAATGGATGGATCATCTAGACAGAAAAGTAATATATAAAAAACTGGACTTGAATTATATTTTAGACCAAATGGATCTAGCAGACATATATAGAACATTTGATCCAATAGCAGCAGAATATATATTTTTCTCAAGTACACAGAAAACATTCTCAGGATAGATCATATGTCTGGTCGCAAAACAAATTTTAACGAACTTAGGAGCATTGAAATCATATCAAGTATCTTTTTGGATCACAATGGCATAAAACTAGAAATCAGTAACAGAAGAAATAAAAAAATACACAAATATGTGGAAATTAAACAACATGTTCCTAAACAAGCAATGAATGGATCACAGCAAAAATCAAAAAGGAAATTAAAAAATATCTTGAGAAAAAAGAAAGTGGAAGCAAAACATACCAAAAGTTATGAAATACAGCAAAAGCTGTCCTAAGGGGGAAATTTATAGTGTAAACACCTACATCAAAAAAAGAAGATTATAAATAAACAATCTAATGTTACACTTTAAGAAATTAGGGGTAAAAACAACAAACTCAGCCCAAAGTTAGCAGATGAAAGGAAATAACAAAGGTCAGAGCAGAATAAAACAGATACTAGAAAAACAATTTTAAAAAATCAACCAAACTGAGTTGATTTTTTGAAAAAATAAACAAAATAAACAAACCCTTAGCTAGACTAACTAGGGAAAAAAAGAGAAGACTCAAATAAATGAGATCAGAAGGAAAGAGGAGACATTACAAGTTATATCAAAGAAATACAAATAATTATTTATAATTACTACAAATAATTATACACCAAGAAGTTGGATAACCTAGAAGAAATCGATAAACTCCTAAACACATACAATCTACTAAAACTGAATCATGAAGAAATAAAAACATCTGAAAAGACCAATAACTACTGAAGAGGTTGAATCAGTAATAATAGGTCTCCTATCAAAGAAAAACCCAGGACTGATGGCTTCATTGTTGAGCCCCTTCTACCAAACATTTAAAGAAATAATACCAACTCTTCTCAAAAATCTTCCAAAAAATTGAAGTAGAGAAAATACTTCCAAACTCATTTCCTGAGGCTAACATAACCCTAATATGAAAGCCAGACAAGGACATTAGAAGAAAAGACAATTATAAGCCGATATCCCTGATTAACATAGATGCAAAAATCCTCAACAAAATAGTAGTAAACTGAATTCACTAACACATTAAAGCGGTCTTTCACCATGATCAAGTGGGATTTATCCCTGGAATGCAAGAATGGTTCAACATACACAAATCAATAAAGGTGATACCCCGTATTAACAAAATGAAGGATAAAAACCATATGATTATCTCATTAGATGCAGAAAAACATTTTTTAAAAATTAACACCCTTTTATGGTTAAAAATCATGAACATATAAGTATAAAGGGAATGTACTTCAAGACAATAAAGCCCATATATGATAAACCTATAACTAGCATTATTCCAGAGATAAAAAGCTAAAAGCTTTTCTTCTAAGATCAAAGATAAGACAAGGATGCCTACTCTCACCACTTCTTTTCTACATAGCACTGGAAGTCCTAGCCAGAAAAATTAAACAGCAGAAAGAAATAAAACGCATCGTAATAGGAAAAGAAGAAGTAAATTTATCTCTATTTGCTGATGTTATATATAGGAAACCCTAAAGACTCCACCAAAAAACTGTCAGAACAGACAATTTCAGTAAACTTGCAGGATATAAAATCAACATAAGAAAATCAGTTGTCCTTCTACATGTTAATAATGACCTATCAAAAAAGAAACTAGAAAACAATTCCATTTACAATAGCAACAAAAAATTAAATACTTGGGCATAAATTTAGCCAAAGGTGCAAAGACATGCGTACTGAAACCTACAAAAAACTGACGAAAGTAACTAAAGAAAACATGAACAAATGGAAAGATACACCATGTTTATGGACATAAAGAATTAATATTGAAAAAATGTCTATACTACACAAAGTAATATACAGATAAAATGCAATCCATATCAAAATTCTAATGTCATCTGGGTGTGGTGGTGCATGCCTGTAGTCCCAGCTATTTGGGAGGCTGAGGTGGGAGGATCACTTGAGCCCAGGAGGTTGAGGCTGCAGTGAGCCAAGATTGCACCACAGTACTTCAGCCTTGGCACCAGAGCAAGACTGTGTCTCAAAAAAAAAAAAAAAATCAATGTCATTTTTATAGAAATAGAAAATTTTCATGGAACCACAAAAGACTTCAAATAGCCAGACAATCTTGAGCAAAAAAAAAAAAAAAAAAGGATCTATACCTCCAAGATGGCCGAATAGGAACAGCTCCAGTCTACAGCTCCCAGAGTGAATGACGCAGAAGACGGGTGATTTCTGCATTTCCAACTGAGGTACCAGGTTCATCTCACTGGGGCTTGTTGGACAGTGGGTGCAGGACAATGGGTGCAGCCCACCGAGCGTGAGCCGAAGCAGGGCAAGGCATCGCCTCACCCAGGAAATGCAAGGGGTCAGGGAATTCCCTTTCCTAACCAAGGGAAGCTGTGACAGACGGCACCTGGAAAATCGGGTCACTCCCACCCTAACACTGTGCTTTTCCAATGGTCTCAGCAAACGGCACACCAGGAGATTATATCCTGCGCCTGGCTTGGAGAGTCCCATGCCCACGGAGCCTCGCTCATTGCTAGCACAGCAGTCTGAGATAGAACTGCAAGGAGGCACCGAGACTGGGGCAGGGGTGCCCGCCATTGCTACGGCTTGAGTAGGTACACAAAGCAGCCTGGAAGCTCAAACTGGGTGGAGACCACCGCAGCTCAAGGAGGCCTGCCTGCCTATGTAGACTCCACCTCTGGGGGCAGGGCATAGCCGAACAAAAGGCAGCAGAAACCTCTGTAGACTTAAATGTCCCTGTCTGACAGCCTTGAAGAGAGTACTGGTTCTCCCAGCATGGAGTTTGAGATCTGAGAATGGACAGACTGCCTCCCCAAGTGGGTCCCTGACCCCTGAGTAGCCTAACTGGGAGGCACCCCCTAGTAGGGGCAGACTGACACCTCACACGGCCGGGTACCCCTCTGAGACGAAGCATCCAGAGGAATGATCAGGCAGCAACATTTGCTGTTCAGCAATGTTCGCTGTTCTGCAGCCTCCGCTGCTGATACCCAGGCAAACAGGGTCTGGAGTGGACCTCTAGCAAACTCCAACAGACCTGCAGCTGAGGATCCTGACTGTTAGAAGGAAAACTAACAAACAGAAAGGACATCCACACCAAAACCCCATCTGTACGTTACCATCATCAAAGACCAAAGGTAGATAAAACCACAAAGATGGGGAAAAACCAGAGCAGAAAAGCTGAAAATTCTAAAAATCAGAGTGCCTCTCCCTCTCCAAAGGAATGCAGCTCCTTGGCAGCAACGGAACAAAGCTGGACGGAGAATGACTTTGACGAGTTGAGAGAAGAAGGCTTCAGATTATTAAACTTCTCCGAGCTAAAGGAGGAAGTTCGAACCCATGGCAAAGGAGCTAAAAACCATGAAAAAAGATTAGACAAATGGCTAACTGGAATAACCAGTGTAGAGAAGTCCTTAAATGACCTGATGGAGCTGAAAACCATGGCACAAGAACTACGTGATGAATACACAAGCTTCAGTAGCCAATTCGATCAACTGGAAGAAAGGGTATAAGTGATTGAAGATCAAATTAATGAAATGAAGCGAGAAGAGAAGTTTAGAGAAAAAAGAGTAAAAAGAAATTAACAAAGCCTCCAAGAAATATGAGACTATGTGAAAAGACCAAATCTTATGTCTGATTGGTGTACCTGAAAGTGATGGGGAGAATGGAACCAAGTTGGAAAACACGCTGCAGGATATTATCCAGGAGAAGTTCCCCAATCTAGCAAGGCAGGCCAACATTCAAATTCAGGAAATACAGAGAACGCCACAAAGATACACCTCAAGAAGAGCAACTCCAAGACACGTAATTGTCAGATTCACCAAAGTTGAAATGAAGGAAAAAATGTTAAGGGCAGCCAGAGAGAAAGGTCAGGTTACCCACAAAGGGAAGCCCATCAGACTAACAGCAGATCTCTCGGCAGAAACTCTACAAGCCAGAAGAGAGTGGGGGGTCAATATTCAACATTCTTAAAGAAAAGAATTTTCAACCCAGAATTTCATATCCAGCCAAACTAAGCTTCATAAGGGAAGGAGAAATAAAATCCTTTACAGACAAGCAAAGGCTGAGAGATTTTGTCATCACCAGGCCTGCCTTACAAGAGCTCCTGAAGGAAGCACTAAACATGGAAAGGAACAACCGGTACCAGCCACTGCAAAAACATGCCAAATTGTAAAGATCATCGAAGCTAGGAAGAAACTGCATCAACTAACGAGCAAAATAACCAGCTAACATCATAATGACAGGATCAAATTCACACATAACAATATTAACCTTAAATGAAAATGGGCTAAATGCTCCAATTAAAAGACACAGACTGGCAAATTGCATAAAGAGTCAAGACCCATCAGTGTGCTGTATTCAGAGACCCATCTCAGGTGCAGAGACACACATAGGCTCAAAATAAAAGGATGGAGGAAGATCTACCAAGCAAATAGAAAACAAAAAAAAAGGCAGGGGTTTCAATCTTAGTCTCCGATAAAACAGACTTTAAACCAATAAAGATCAAAAGAGACAAAGAAGGCCATTACATAATGGTAAAGGGATCAATTCAACAAGAACAGCTAACTATCCTAAATATATATGCACCCAATACAGGAGCACCCAGATTCATAAAGCAAGTCCTTAGAGACCTACAAAGAGAGTTACATTCCCACACAATAATAATGGGAGACTTTAACACCCCACTATCAACATTAGACAGATCAATGAGACAGAAAGTTAACAAGGATATCCAGGAACTGAACTCAGCTCTGCACCAAGTGGACCTAATAGACATCTACAGAACTCTCCACCCCAAATCAACAGAACATACGTTATTCTCAGCACCACATCGCACTTATTCCAAAATTGACCACATAGTTGGAAGCAAAGCACTCCTCAGCAAATGTAAAAGAACAGAAATTATAACAAACTGTCTCTCAGACCACAGTGCAATCAAACTAGAACTCAGGATTAAGAAACTCACTCAAAACTCCTCAACTACATGGAAACTGAACAACCTGCTCCTGAATGACTACTGGGTACATAGCAAAATGAAGGCAGAAATAAAGATGTTCTTTGAAACCAATGAGAACAAAGACACAACATACCAGAATCTTTGGGACACATTTAAAGCAGAGTGCAGAGGGAAATTTATAGCACTAAATGCCCACAAAAGAAAGCAGGAAAGATCTAAAATTGACACCCTAACATCACAATTAATAGAACTAGAGAAGCAAGAGCAAACACATTCAAAAGCTAGCGGAAGGCAAGAAATAACTAAGATCAGAGCAGAACTGAAGGAAATAGAGACACAAAAAACCCTTCAAAAAATTAATGAATCCAGGAGCTGGGTTTTGAAAAGATCAACAAAATTGATAGACCACTAGCAAGACTAATAAAGAAGAAAAGAGAGAAGAATCAAATAGACACAATAAAAAATGATAAAGGGGATATCACCACCGATCCCACAGAAATACAAACTACCATCAGAGAATACTATAAACACCTATATGCAGATAAACTAGAAAATCTAGAAGAAATGGATAAATTCCTGGACACATACACCCTCCCAAGACTAAACAAGGAAGAAGTTGAAT
Source organism: Homo sapiens (assembly GCF_000001405.40). NCBI lineage: Eukaryota > Metazoa > Chordata > Mammalia > Primates > Hominidae > Homo > Homo sapiens. The sequence goes on from NC_000006.12 coordinate 9,885,766, forward strand.
CCCTGAATAGACCAATATCAGGCTCTGAAATTGAGGCAATAATAGCCTACCAACCAAAAAAAGTCCAGGACCAGACGGATTCACAGCTGAATTCTACCAGAGGTGCAAGGAGGGGCTGGTACCGTTCCTTCTGAAACTATTCCAATCAATAGAAAAAGAGGGAATCCTCCCTAACTCATTTTATGAGGCCAGCATCATCATGATACCAAAGCCCGGCAGAGACACAACTAAGAGAATTTTAGACCAATATCCCTGATGAACATCGATGCAAAAATCCTCAAAAAACTACTGGCAAACCGAATCCAGCAGCACATCAAAAAGCTTATCCACCATGATCAAGTGGGCTTCATCCCTGGGATGCAAGGCTGGTTCAACATATGCAAATCAATAAACATAATCCAGCATACAAACATAACCAAAGACAAAAACCACATGATTATCTCAATAGATACAGAAAAGGCCTTTGACAAAATTCAACAACCCTTCATGCTAAAAACTCTCAATAAATTAGGTATTGATGGGACATATCTCAAAACAATAAGAGCTATTTATGACAGACCCACAGCCAATATCACACTGAATGGGCAACAACTGGAAGCATTCCCTTTGAAAACTGGCACAACACAGGGGTGTCCTCTCTCACCACTGCCTTTCAGCACAGTGTTGGAAGTTCTGGCCAGGGAAATCAGGCAGGCGAAAGAAATAAAGGGTATTCAATTAGGAAAAGAGGAAGTCAAATTGTCCCTGTTTGCAGATGACATGATTGTATATTTAGAAAACCCCATCGTCTCAGCCTGAAATCTCCTTAAGCTGATAAGCAACTTCAGCAAAGTCTCAGGATACAAAATCAATGTGCAAAAATCACAAACATTCTTATACACCAATAACAGACAAACAGAGAGCCAAATCATGAGTGAACTCCCATTCACAATGGCTTCAAAGAGAATAAAATACCTAGGAATCCAACTTACAAGGGATGTGAAGGACCTCTTCAGGGAGAACTACAAACCACTGCTCAATGAAATAAAAGAGGACACAAACAAATAGAAGAACATTCCATGCTCATGGATAGGAAGAATCAATATTGTGAAAATGGCCATACTGCCCAAGGTAATTTATAGACTCAATGCCATCCCCATCAAGCTACCAATGACTTTCTTCACAGAATTGGAAAAAACTACTTTAAAGTTCATATGGAAGCAAAAAAGAGCCCACATTGCCAAGACAATCCTAAGCCAAAAGATCAAAGCAGGAGGCATCACGCTACCTGACTTCAAACTATGCTACAAGGCTACAGTAACCAAAACAGCATGGTACTGTTACCAAAACAGAGATATAGACCAATGGAACAGAACAGAGCCCTCAGAAATAATATCACACATCTACAACCATTTGATCTTTGACAAACGTGACAAAAACAGGAAATGGGGAAAGGATTCCCTATTTGATGAATGGTGCTGGGAAAACTGGCTAGCCATATGTAGAAAGCTGAAACTGGATCCCTTCCTTGCACCTTATACAAAAATTAATTCAAGATGGATTAAAGACTTAAATCTTGGACCTAAAACCATAAAAACCCTAGAAGAAAACCTAGGCAATACCATTCAGGACATAGGCATGGGCAAGGACTTCATGTCTAAAACACCAAAAGCAATGGCAACAAAAGCCAAAATTGACAAATGGGATCTAATTAAACTAAAGACCTTCTGCACAGCAAAAGAAACTACCATCAGAGTGAACAGGCAACCTACAGAATGGGAGAAAATTTTTGCAATCTACTCATCTGACAAAGGGCGAATATCCAGAATCTACAAAGAACTCAAACAAATTTACAAGAAAAAAAAAACCATCAAAAAGTGGGTGAAGGATATGAACAGACACTTCTCAAAAGAAGACATTTATGCAGTCAAAATGAAAAAATGCTCATCATCACTGGCTATCAGAGAAATGAAAATCAAAACCACAATGAGATACCATCTCACACCAGTTAGAATGGCGATCATTAAAAAGTCAGGAAACAACAGGTGCTGGAGAGGATGTGGAGAAATAGGAACACTTTTACACTGTTGGTGGGACTGTAAACTAGTTCAGCCATTGTGGAAGACAGTGTGGCAATTCCTCAAGGATCTAGAACTAGAAATACCATTTGACCCAGCCATCCCATTACTGGGTATATACCCAAAGGATTATAAATCATGCTGCTAAAAAGACACATGCACATGTATGTTTATTGCGGCACTATTCACAAAAGCAAAGACTTGCTACCAACCCAGATGTCCATGAATGATAGACTAGATTAGGAAACTGTGGCACATATACACCATGGAATACTATGCAGCCATAAAAAACAATGAGTTCATGTCCTTTTTATGGACATGGATGAAGCTGGAAACCATCATTCTCAGCAAACTATCGCAAGGACAAAAAAACCAAACACCGTGTGTTCTCACTCATAGATGGGAATTGAACAATGAGAACACTTGGACACAGGAAGGGGAACATCACACACTGGGGTCTGTCGTGGGGTGGGGAGTGTGGGGAGGGATAGCATTAGGAGATATACCTAATGTAAATGACGAATTAATGGGTGCAGCACACCAACATGGCACATGTATACATATGTAACAAACCTGCACATTGTGCACATGTACCCTAGAACTTAAAGTATAATTAAAAAAAAAAAGCTAGAGGCATCATACTTCCGGATTTTAAAACATATTGTAAAGTGGTTGTAATAAAAACAGCATGGTACTAGCATAAAAACAGACACATCAATCAGTGGAACAGGATAAAAACCTCAGAAATAAACCCAGGTATTTTAAGGTCAACTGATTTTTGACAAAGGTGCTAGGAACACACAATGAAGAAATGACAGTCTCTTCAATAAATGGTATTGGGAAACCTGGATATCCATATGCAGAAGAATAAAATTAAACACTTAGCTTAAACCATATTTAAAAATCAACCCAAAATAGATTCAAGACTTAAATATAAAACCTGCAACCATAAAACTACTGGAAGAAAACATAGGGGAAAATATCCACAACATTGGTCTCGGCAATGATTTTTTGGATATGACCCTGAAAGCACAAGAGCACAGGCAACAAAAGAAAAAACAGACAAATGAGATGGCATCAAACTAAAAAAGCTTCTGCACAGCAAAGGAAGCAACCAAGTAAAGAGACAACCCATACAACAGAAGTAAATATTTGCAAGCCGTACACCTGATAAGGACTTAATAGATAAGAATGTAAACTAGTGCAACCATTACAGAAAATTGTATACAAGTTCCTCAAAAAACTAAAATCAGAATTACCATATGATTAAATAATCTCACTTCTGGGTACATATACAAAGAAACTGAAATCAGTCTGTTGAGGAGATATCTGTAGTCTCATGTTTATTGCAACATTCTTCACAATAGCCAAGAAATGGCATCAACCTAAGCATCTGTCAATGAATAAATGGACTTTAAAAATGTGGTATATATACACAATGGAGTACTATTCAGCCTTAAAAAAAGAGGGAAACTCTGTCATTTGTGACAACCTGGGAGAACCAGAAGGACATTATGTTAAGTGGAATAAGCCAGGCACAGAAATTCAAATACTACATGATCTCACTTTTATGAAAGTCAAACTCATAGAAGTAGAAAGTTGAATACTGGTTACCAGAAGGTGAGGGAGGGGAAAAATAGAGGAGAGATGTTGATCAAAGGGTACAAAGTTTCAAATAGGCAGGAGGAATAGGTTTTGAGACGTATTGTACAGCAGGGTGACTACTGTCAATAATAATGTATTATATATTTCAAAATAAGAGCAAATTTCAAATGTATCATCATTAAAAAAGACAGATAAGCTACAGGACAGCTACATTAATTAGCCTTGTTTAATTCTGCCACATTGTATTCACATATCAAAACATCACACTGAGCCCTGTAAATGTACAAAATTTTGTTTGTTAATCAAAAATAATATTAATATTTTTTAAATAAAGGGATGATTATTTTGTAATTTAGTCTGCACTGGGCATTGTTTTCCCAGTTTAATTGCTAGGAAGACCACTGAGTCTTCGAGCTATTGTAAATATTTCCCAACTTTGTTTTTCTTGGTTTGTGATGGTTAAATTGACATGTCAACCTGACTGGGCTAAGGGATACCCTGATAGCTGGCAAAACATTATTTCTGAGTGTGTCTGTGAGCATATTTTCAGAAGAGACTAGCATTTGAATCAGTAGACTGAGTTATAAAGATAGCCTTCGCCAGTGTGGGTGGGCAGCATCTAACCCATTGAGGGCTGGAATAGAACAAAAAGCAAGAGGAATGGTGAATTCACTCTGTTTGAGCTAGGACATCCATCTTTTCCTGCTCTCAGACAACAGAGCTCCTGGTTTCGTGGTCTTTGAACTCCCAGACTTACTTGGGGACTCTAGCAGCCCCACCACCGCTATCCCTGGATCTCAGTGTTTGGACTCAAACTGGGAATCACACCATCAGCTTCCTCTGGTTCCAGGTTGCAGACAGCACTTGATGGGACTTTTTGGCCTCCATAATCGTGTGAGCAAATTCCTATAATAAATGTCCTCATAGATGTGTGTGTGTGTGTGTGTGTGTGTGTGTGTGTGTGTGTGCATTCTATTGGTTTTGTTTCTCCATAGAACCCTGGCTTATAAATGGTTTACCAAATACAGATGAAATAATGTGATCAATTGCCTCATAAAATATGTTGGTCCATATTCTACTATAATTTCAAGTATGTGAAAATCACTTAATTGGCCTGAGAATGTCACTTCCTCCAAAAAGTAAAGTGGCAGATGATTGATAGAAAATTTTATATTAAAAAGCCATATTTTTTAAAAACTGTGTACCCTGTGATGATTAAAATTGAGTTATAATCCTGACTCAGCAACTTATTAGCTGTAAAACCTTTCCCAAGCTACTTGGCCTTTCTGTGCCTTAGGCTGCTCTTCTATAAGATGGGGGTGATAACAGTATCCATGTATGGGAGCCGTGAGGTTAAATTATGCAAAGCGCTTAAATAGTGTCAGTAGGTATGCAATGAACGTTAGCTATTATATTATTAAAGGGCCCTTTTCTCTATTCTATGACACTTATTTTAAAAAGTAATTTAGTTGATGTACATGAAAGTACCAAATCGTAACACTCCACATAACGACATTATAACAGCATTAGAGAAAATTAATACTACAAAACATTTGTAAGCCAACGAGATCCATGATAATTTTGCCATACTAGTTATCTGCAGCATGCACTCATTCCTTCATTCATTCATTGAACAAACATTCAATGAAGATAAACTTTGTTTTCTGCCAGGCCCTGTTCTTGGTGCTGAAGATAAAAAGATACAGCCCTTTCTCTGAATGAACTCATGGAATATAGCACAAGTACCTTGATTTTATTATTGAAGTGTTATTAGATTTGTTTGATATCAGATATGGGAATTTCTTTCTCCTGAAAGCAATGCAGTTTCTCATTTCTGTCTTACACAGCACGAGTTTTCAGTTTGAGGCTCATAAATCCATTGCTGATATATAAATGAGGGCTGAGTTTCTCAAGAAAGTTTAGTTATACCAGAAACTATATAGAAATAAGTAATCAAAGAAGAGGGTGAACTTATTCAATCCTTTGTCAAAATGGTGTTGTTTTGTTTTTAAATTATGCATAATAAAATAATGTTGAGTGTGGCATACTCAGTATGGAGAAACTGCAGCAAAGTTTTATAAAAAGTAGACGTTTTGCTCTAAAACAAAAACCAAAAATTCACGTGTTAATATTATCTCAGAAATGTTTATTTGGTTTATTAAAGCTCAGAAGACTTCTCACCAAAAGGCTAATTGGCAGCCAATTGAGCTTGCCTTGAACTTTGAGGAAATATTTTGATCATTGTTGGTGGTGACCCATATATAAATGAAAAATAAAGAAGAGCTGGAGGTAAGTCAAGAACTATTTTACTGTAATTTTAAATACCCAACTTTCAGGATCTGCAAGTTTAATCAGATACGCAAATCTACTAACGATTATTCCGTTCTCCTATTTTTCGTTTTCCTCCGTGTGGTTTTATGAGAACACGGAAACCTACACAGCAGTTTCCCCAAATAATGTTTCAGTCAGTGTCACTTCATTACAACAAGAACAAAGAAAATCAATTCCGTGCCGGGGCCACTGCCTGTGTGGAATCTGCACGTTCTTCTCATATCTGTGTGGGTTCTCTCTGGGTCCTCTTGTTTCCTCTCACATCCCAAACATGTGCCCATTAGGTTCACTGGTGTGTCTACACTGTCCCAGTGTGGGTGAGTGTGGGTGTGTGTGAATGCAGCCTGCAATGGGATGGTGTCTTGTCCAGGGCTGGGTCCTACCTTGTGCCCTGAGCTGCTGGGACAAGACTCCAGCTACCTTCCACCCTAAACTGGAATAAGTGGGATTATTTTTTCTTATTTAGCCAATATTTCTCATTTTTAATAATTTTTCTTAAACATATGTATAGCCTACATTTATTTCAATGCTTAAAATTGTAAGTGTTTTGGTCTTTATTTAGATGTTTGGTGATGTATTTGTGACTAGAAATATGCCATAGGAACTTAACTCTTGTTTCTATCAATTAGCCTATGGTAAATTAATTTTTATACGTTATTTCACTTAAAGTCGCAGTTTCCAAGAACCTATTGACAACATAAGTGAGGACTTACTCTACTCCCAATAATGACAACACACATTCTTCTTTTGCCCCAGTCCATGCAGAGGTAGGTGGCTTCCTATTCTGGTTCCTGCCCTCTCTGGCTCCTGAACTTCCATAAGAACCCATGAAACAACCATACCCTAAGACTTAGTTGAGTAGTAAACAAATGTGACTGCCCCAATCAGAAATAAAGAATTTCTGCCCTTCTGATTCTTATTTAATAATACAACCTTAAATTCTCTGACAATCTATTTGTACTGAATTTCAGTTCTAAGAAGTTATGTTCACTGAAGAATAATCAGCCCATCTCACCTATAAATACATAAAATGTTATCCTTGGACGGTGCCTGACCACCAAGGATACATGCTTGGACCATCCTATTTTGAAAGACTGTAGAATCAATTGCTTCACTCATTCACAGATTGCTGTTATGCTGTGAACCCACACATTTTTTAAAATGATATAAAATTTCTTCAGTAACCTCAGTTGCCTCAACTTCATAGCTCCTAATATTGGAAAGGAGAATGGAGACTATTTTGTGTTCCAACATTAACTAAAAATACTACCAATTGCAGAAGAAAAAAAAGATGGTATATAAAATAAATCATAATGAAAAAAGTAACAAAATAGCATCCTTTTTGTTTTCCAAATGAAACAAAAACTTTTCACCTAGAGGTGCTTATAGAATGTGACCTGATACTAAGTAAATACAAAATTGTCACTGCTAAATAATTTTCCAAGCAAAGATAATGACACTAAAATATGTTTATTCGTTCTCAACGGTAGCCTGCTTCTCTTGGAATTCCAGTCAGCTTTGGCAAGAATGTCTTTATCCAAGTGTCTCCAGAGTATTCTGGGCAGCTCAAAAGGTATGCCAAATAGGGTGGGTGCTGTGGCTCACACCTGTGATCCCAGCACTTTGGGAGGCCAAGACGGGTGGGTTACCTGAAGTCAGGATTTTGAGATCATCCTAGCCAACATGGTGAAACCCCATCTCTACTTTAAAAAAAAAAAAAAAAAAATTAGCCGGGCGTGGTGGTGGGCGCCTGTAATCCCAGCTACTTGGGAGGCTGAGGCAGGAGAATCGCTTGGACCTGGGAGGCAGAGGTTGCAGTGAGCCGAGATTGTGCCACTGCACTCCAGCCTAGGCAACAGAGCGAGACTCTGGAAAAAAAAAAAAAAAAAGGAAAAAAGGTATATTAAGTGGCAAACAAGGAATTTAAAAATATAGATAAAATAATAAACGAAAAGAAAGCCAAGTGTTAAAAGCTTTTGGTTAAAATTGTGAGCCTTTTAAATGTAAAATGATATTTCTGTCCTCTAGAGATTCTTTCATATTTATAATAATAGGGCATTTTTCTTGCTCACCTCACAAGAGGCAAAGAATATGACGGAAACTTGCAAACTATACAGAATGGCAGTGCCATTATCATTTCCCTTAAAGTAAAATATGGACAATTACCAGTTTTTTTTTACCATAAAATACTTGTGCTCCTGCCTTTTTGCCTTTTATAGTTTCATTCATTAAATTTTTAAATTATATCTGCATTTATACTTAATATAATGTTTAAGGGATGGTATATGAGCTACTATATTGGTTAAGTTTTAAAAAATCATGTAAATGTCTCAAATGATTTTTGAAAATCAATTTTCCCTCCAAAATGTTTTCTATACTAACCACAGAGTAGAATATATGTTTCTTCTTACAGAAAATATAATGATTAATCTGTTAAAGTACCTTATGAAATTCATCTTGAATTTACATAGATTTTATTACGGATTTTACATTTTAAAATTTCTCCTATATCCAAGTATCTGATCTCAAACTTGACATTCACTCACTTCACAATGTTAGATTTGAGTCACGCCTACTGCCAAATGCCAGGAAGTTATGAAGAATTTGGAAAAGTAGGGTTAACTGCCAGTATATACTAGTTTTTTTTCAGAATGTTTCTCTGGCATCTACTTAGTCTGGGCTAGCATATTTATTCCACCATTAGCCTAAATGCTACATTTTATTTATTAAATCAAGACAAAACCTTAAAAAACACTACTCATTAATCACAAAAAAAAAACCTCCTTAAATCATGGTTTCCTAATTGAATAAACTAAATGTATGGATTGTTCACAATTAAAATTCAGAGGAAAACCTAGTTATCTGCAACTGATTAGGAACAGGTACATAGCACACAGTAGATATTAGGGAATGTCCAGGAAAACATTTCCTCCTGGTAGCTAACATGCAAAATAAAATTATTTTATTTCTAATTAAATACATATTTGAAAAACAATAATTTCCTCTGTGACTAAATTTATTAAAACTATGCACTTAATCAATTAATTTTATTCTTTACTAGATAATTGTCAGACCTAAGTCACTTCATAACATCTTTCTTACAAGCTTTCCAATGTCAGTGGGATATAAAAAGTCAGCACAAATATTTCTAAAGTAGCTTTCTATACTTAGGCAACTCAATTGGTCCTATGATAAGAATAAAAATGATATTGCATCATTTGGATGGCCCTTGAAGTGGGATGCTGTCAGTTGACTCTGAGAGTGTTACCTCCCCACTTCCCCTCTCATCCTCCTCACTCTTGGTTTTGTTCCTTCTACTCTCATCATGTTCTGGGATACTGTATTAGTCCATTTTCACACTGCTATAAAGACAGACTTGAGACTGGGTCATTTACAAAGAAAAAAATGTTTAATAGGTTTACAGTTCCACATGGCTGGGGAGGCCTCAGGAAACTTACAATCATGTTGGAAGGTGAAGGAGAACAAGGCGTGTTTTATGATGTCAAAGCATGAGAGAGAGAAAGAGCTGAGGGGAACTGCCAAACCCCTTTAAAGCACAAGATCTTGTGAGAACTCACTCACTGTCACAAGAACAGCATGGGGGAAGTCGTCCCCATGATCCAGTCACCTCCCACCAGGTCCCTCCCTTGACATGTGGGGATTACGATTCGAGATGAGATTTGGGTGGGGATACAGGCCCAAACCATGTCAGGTGATACCCTGCTGCCTTGATGGCCTTAGACAGGAAGCATCAGCCACAGCACCTTTTCAAGATACTTACAGAACCCGCCTATCCCATGTAGACTGATACCTGTGCAATAAAAAGTGGTCACATTAAGTGACCAGATTTTTTTAAGTTTCTGTAGTGTTGTGGTTATCATGTTCACCTATCACATTCGTCTTACCTAAGGCCAGATGTCTGCCTTTATCATGAGATCTCAGCCAGCAGAGAAGTTCTTCTCCAGGTACTTCTGGAGTCTTCAGTGGGTGACTTACATTAGCTCACATATTAGTCCTGGCTGATGCTTCCTATAGCTTCAGGAATGATTACATCACTGCTGACATTGCTGTCACCCCTGCTAACTAAAGGTCGACTCCAGAGTGATTTTCTCATCAGTTCTATGCTGGATACTTGGGAATTCAGTGATGCCAGTCCCACTGGACTCTGCAACACTCTCTGCCCCAACACACACATCCACAGCCACGTTCATGCACACACACACATACACAAAGATACAACCATACAGGCATAGACATCCACGCACCCACACAACCATATACACAGACATGCACATACACAACCACACACAATACTTTTGCAAAGTGAGAAGGCAAACTCTTCATTTTTCTATGTTCTACTCTGTCTACGGGAAAAAAAATGGGGGTCCCACAGTAGATGTGCTTGGATACTCATATTTCACAAAGTTTACTAACAGCATCCTTTCGCTATGCAATAGATGTATATATGAGATTTTTCTCTTTTTATTTTCTCCAAGATGTACATCAACTATCAGGATCTCTAAATCTAATGAGTGTTCAAATAATAACCACTGTACTAGACAATTCCCAGCTCAGTCTCACTGGTAACCTTAGTCAAGGGCCCCATCTCTTTTTACAATCTGAATTCTTCTATCATCCCAGGTTCTCCATATGTTAGGATGAGAAGCAATCACTCCAGTCACCATATAAATCAACAGTTATAGATAAGTAGTTTAGGAGAAGAGACTCAGCCAACAACACTCACCCCAGCTGGGATGGCCCGCATCTCCATTTAAACATCTTGCCTTATGTAATTATCAGTTCACCATTACAATAGCAATAGAAAGTAAGAATAGGTAATGGTCTCAACAAATATAGAAAATGAGTAGCAAGAAACATAAAACGTTAACTGCCACACACTTGGACACATCTCAATCCCCACACACCCATAAGAGGTTCAAATTATTTAGCGCTATTTTACAAAGAGGTTTAAGTTCACATAAATATCTGAATCAAGGATGACAGCTCTGAGTTCTAACACCAAATCTGAAGGTTTTTCCTACTTATGATGTTGCCTTGTGTGTTCATGGAACTTCCCGACACAGTGAACATAAGAACATTGCGAGCACTGACCTGAGAATGGGTTTTAGAATCTTTGCTCTCTATAGTACCTCCTGCTTCTGATTACAGCAGTTACTTTGAGCAAGAGTATCCATGGATGACTCATCTCATCCTCCATACAATGCAATGAAGTAGATCTAATTTCCTGTGAATTACAGAGGAGGAAACTGAGGTCAAGGAAGTTAAGTAACTTGCCTATGATCTGACACCCTGTGAGTGGCAAAGCCATGGCCCCAACAGAGGTCTGACTCCAGCTCAGCCTCCTTCCCCCATACGACTCTGTCATATGAATCTGTGTTCATAGGTCAGCACATGATTTCTCTTGCAATTATTCAGCCAGTCAGTTTAGGTCGAATTTCACATAATTTAAGACATATTGATTAGGAGAAGAAACAGGATCACAAATTTCAGTGTTTAAAGGGAATCACGGTCATATCTGCAGAAGACTTGAATTCTCCCGAATGTGTGGACTGTCTCCTAATACTAACAAGTGGTAAAAATGCAGGCTTGAGTTCTACTTGTGTTGAACTCCTAGACACTGTGCTGGCCTTTGAATGATAGCCTCACAACAGTGTAGCAGGTGAGCATTCACCTTATCTTGTACAGAATGAGGATTTAAAAATATTAACCTCAACTTATCTTGTACAGAATGAGGATTTAAATTATCTTGTACAGAATGCCTCAACTTATCTTGCACAGAATGAGGATTTTAAAATATTAACTATAGGTGTGGTGGCTCATGCCTGTAATCCCAGCACTTTGGGAGGCTGAGGTGGGCAGATCACGAGGGCAGGAGTTCAAGACCAGCCTGGCCAGCATGGTGAAACCCCATCACTACTAAAAATACAAAAATTAGCCAGGCGTGGTGGTACACACCTGAGGTTCCAGCTACTCGGGAGGCTGAGACAGGAGAATCGTTTGAACCTGGCAGGCGGTGGTTGCAGTGAGCCAAGATGGCACCACTGCACTCCAGCCTGGGGAACAGAGCAAGACTCCATCTCAAAAATAAAATAAAATAAAATAAAATAAAATAAAATAAAATAAAATAAAAAATATTAGCCACATATTCCAAAGAAATCCACGTATTCATGATCAAAAACATGATGCAAATTGAAACAGATACAATGGCACTGTATGGTGCAAAAAAAAAAAAATTGGAAATGAACTGTTAATGTATCAATACACATCTGAAAAACAATTGTTTTGTTTGTTTGTTTGTTTTGTTTTGTTTTTGAGATAGAGTCTTGCTCTGTCACCCAGGCTGGAGTGCAGTGGCACAATCTCAGCTCACTGCAAGCTCTGACTCACAGGTTCACACCATTCTCCTGCCTAAGCCTCCCCAGCAGCTGGGACTACAGGCGCATGCCACCACACCCAGCTAACTTTTTTGTATTTTTAGTAGAGACAGGGTTTCACTGTGTTAGCCAAGATGGTCTCCATCTCCTGACCTCATGATCCACCCGCCTTGGCCTCCCAAAGTGCTGGGATTACAGGCGTGAGCCACCGTGCCCGGCCTTGTTTGTTTGTTTTGAGACAGAGTCTCACTGTCACCAGGCTGGAGGGCAGTGGCGTGATCTTGGCTCACTGCAACCACTGCCTCCCGGCTTTGAGCAATTCTCCTCTCTCAGCCTCCCAAGTAGCTGGGACTACAGGTGAGCACCGCCACACCCAGCTAATTTTTGTATTTTTAGTAAAGATAGGGTTTCACCATGTTGGTCAGGATGGTCTTGAGCTCCTGACCTCGTGATCTGCCTGACTCGACCTCCCAAAGTGCTAGGATTACAAGCATGAGCCCCCGTGCCTGGCCACAGTTGTTTTTAAAAAGGGTTATGTGCAAAGGCAGAGCCATGCATCCTTTTCGCCTCCATGTCCTTTGAGAGCCCTGTCTTCATAAAGATGTGTGGCAGGGTTAACACATGAGTGAAGTAAAGCCTAGCCAGTGAGATCAACCACCCCAGGAACTGTATTAATTGCCCACTGCTGCCACAAAAAAACTATCACAAACATGACAGCTGAAAACAACAGAAATTATTGTCTCAGAGTTCTGGTGGCAAGAGGTCTGAAGTCAAAGTGTTCTCAGGGTGGGGGCTTCCTTAGACTCTCTGGAGAATCCATTTCATTCCTCTCTCCTAGCTGCTGGCAACTGTGGCGATCCTTGGCGGTCCTTTGCTTGTAGATGCATCAATTTCTGCCTCCTTCACATGTCTGAGTCTCAAATCGCTCTCTCCTCTCTCTTAAAAGGACAACAGTCATCGGACTGAGGGTCCATCCTAAATTCAGGATGATCTCATCTGGAGATCCTTAACTTAATTATACCTGCAAAGACTCTATTTCCAAATTAGGTCACATTCCCAGATACCAGGGTGTACACATTTTTGGAGAACACAATTCAAACCACTATCAGAGCCATCTAAGTGGCTCTGTTAAGGAAGACTGTATTTGCTAATTTGGGTCACTTGCTTGAGAAAGTTCAAAATAGACACAACCTTAATATGTCTACAATATTCAGACCTATTTGGCACAAAGGAAGATATGAAACAGTTTTATGGAATTTCCATACTCCAAATTAGAGGATATCCCCCCACCCCCCACCTAAGCTATTCCTATCTCTTCTCAAGTTGCAAATATCTCCACTTGTGACCTGTTGTTATAAAAGATCTCATTGATAATAGTCTTTTTCATCTGACGAATTTTTTCCTCTTTAGCCTGAATCTACTTACCTTTCACAAAACAACACACACACACACACACACACACACACACACACACACACACACACACATATGCCTGGAGCTAGACATGTAAGATTCTTTTATTTTTATCACTTCTCTATCTGGTGGTTCAGAGCACATAATGCCACATTACACATAAATAGAACCTACAGATACAGAAATCAGAGGAGAAATCAGATTGTCTCTGAAGTCAAGATAGTCTAATGGCTAAAGACTCTTGTGTGGCACAAGTCACAACAGTTAGAATGCCCAAGTTCCTTAAATAGTGACTTTAGAAATGCTAGAATATTCATGTAGTAATACAGTGCTTTTGCAAATAAGTCCAAGCAGTTTCTTAGTTTTTCCAAGTAAATGTATGCTGGTTTCAGGTTTTATTATCAGTAATTCATAATACACTAGAAATAAGCTCTCTAACACAAAATAAAACCAGATAATGGAAGTAAATTGTACAAACTAAATTTCACACACTTTGTAAAACGTGTAGGCAGTAATTATGCTCCTTATCAATATCCAGGGTGGGTAAGGATATCGATAAGGAGCGTAACTTCTGCCTACACATTTTACAATGTGTATAAAAAATAAGGAAATGGCTCAATGAAGTCATAACTAGTGTGTGTTCTAGGAACAGTGTGCTGGTAAGCAAAATCGGTAGACCATGTGTAGGCCTGACACTTCAACTTGTCATTTGAAAAAGAGAGATTATCTTACATTTCTCAATATACTCTTAATGCTGACCTGTTCTAATGGAGAACTTCCAAGCAGAATTATAGTTTTCTGAGATCTTTGGAACTCCTCAAGGTGAGCAGTGGTGGCTTCGCTGGCTTCTTTGTGGATTTCGTGACTCTTATTGGAACTCCCAGGTGCTTCAGAATTCAGAGTCTCCTCCCGGCCACTCTCATCTGTTTACCCCAAGAAAATCACATGGAATTCCACTTGTTTTTGTCAATTTAATGTTGACTAAACACACAATAGACTCATCACTGATTTTCTTATATGCAGTAAAGTTTGGTTTTTTCATAATCGACCAACTAGCAAATTATTTTCTATTTCATGTACTGGAAAACAACTAAAGCACAGAAGTTTGAAGATTAAAAAACAACCACCACCACCTTTGTTTATCCCATAATGTTTACAAACTCAACAAAGTACAGCTATACATTTAAGCCTTTTTCCCAGTTACCAAATATATCTTGAAATGTGGATACTGTGCTTTTCTGTACGTTAATATTACATGTTGTTTACTCCAACATCTTACCACTTACTCACTGTGTTGCTGTAACCAGTTTAGGAGATGAATAGGCTTAGAAGAAGCCAGAGCTCTCTGGTTCATTTTCCCACCTTAGGATCTCTGAGAACATTTCCTGAGCTCTGCACACAGAGGCACTTTATTTGGGCTACCTTGTTTATTTGCATAGAAATGCCAGCATTTATATAAATGGTATGTGTACTTTACTTCACTATCACCTGAAAACAGTATCATGTACAAAAGATATCTATTCATCCAGCCAGATGCATGCTGTAAATAGAAAATGATCTTCCTTCTTCCAGTCTGTAAAAAATGCTGGAAGGTATAATACGAAATTTTCCACGTCTCCTATTCTAGAATTTTAACAAGAATCATGAGAAGAGAGCTTCTTTTGCAGGAGGAAATGAGATGGCATGCTGGAGAAAGCACTGAGTTAGTGTCCAGAGGCCCACTGGCCTTGTTCTATGCTCCCTGATGCACCATATTACTTTGCATAAGACTTTATACTTTCTAAGTCTCAGCTACATCCTCTTCTATAAAATAGTTCATAAAATGCCTCTTCTATAAATTCTATGAGACTTTTGTAAGTCCATAAATGATTTCCGAAGATCTATTAGATGCTATCTGTAAATGTGTGACTTGGGTGGTTTCAAAGGATCCAAGCTGAAAAAGCCATCAGAATGGAAAAGAAACAGCAGCACTAAAAGGTATTCAATAGGTTTGCTGACTCAGAAGTTAGACTAAACACAGAAAGGCCTGACTTAAGCATAACCATTTATGATGCTTAATTTTAAGCATCAGCTTGACCAGGCTATGGTGCCCACCTGTTTGCCCAAACACCAATCTAGATGTTGTTGTGAAGGTGTATTTAGATGTGATTAATATTTAAATCAGTAGAGTTTGAGTAAAGCAGATTACTCTTCACAATGTTTGTGGGCCTCATCCAATCAGTCGAAGTTCTTAAACATATAGATTGAGGCTTTCCAAAGAAGAAGGAATTCAGTCTCAAGGCCACAGCGTAGACACTCTGGTTGCATTTCCAGCCTGCTGGCCTGCCCCACGCATTTCAGTCTCAAGACTCCAACATCAACCCCTACCTGAGTTTCCAGACTGCTGCCTGTGGAATTCAGATGCGAGACTGCAATTTCAACTCCTGCCTGAATTTCACATCAACTCTTACCTGATTCTCCAGCCTGCCAGCCTGTCTGAAGGATTTCAGACTTGCTATCCCAGCTACGGAGTGAAGCAATTTCTTAAAATAAATGCCTCTCTATATATTATCAAACCAACTGGATTCCACTTCTCTGGATAATTCTAATACACCATTTGAACTTGGGATCCCTCAGAATGAGGTGGCTTGAAAACTGAGTTTGCTTTGTTTATAAAGGCAAAAAGTAATAAATGGTTGACCACACAAACTGATAGCAAAAAAGTAAAGGGGAGGTGTACCCAAGCAGGAATAAAATTTTGAAGGGTATTATACTGTACATGGGGATAAAAATGGGGACTAACCTTTAAAGGTTGTTATGAAGTTTAAACAAGTGAATTATTTAGAACTGCTTAGGACAGTTCCAGGCACCTAGGAAGGACTCAAATGTTTAACTGGCATTAATATTTTCACCAGCAGGATTACTGTTACTATCTTTATTATTCTAGGTGTCACATCTGCTCATGTAATAATAATTTAGTCCTCATAACTACTCCATATGACAGGTGTTATATGTTCATTTGGCAAAAATGACAAAGAAAGGTTAATTAATTGGTCCAGGGTCACACAGCTAGTAAATGATGAAGTCTAAGCATAAATTTAATAGAAATAATAACTATTAGAAGACTTTATCATGATCAGCCCTCTCCTATTATATGCTTTGAGGAGTTATTATAATAAGGAAGACAAAATGATTGAGAAGCACTAAGCACATACAGTAAAAACATAATAATAATAGAATTATTCCCCATGAAATATACAGCAACTTATATTTAATTCTTTGGTAAAAACTGTAATATGGTTCTGGCATGAATTTATATGTGTTAAACTAAGAATTTAGAATTGAGTTTTTTAAATGTTACCTTTAAATTCTTAGTTTAATACATAAAATAAGTTTTTACTTAAAGAGCCTAACATTTGCAAATATGAATTTCCATACTAAGGTTGAGAACAATATACTATTTGCCTTCTACCACCCCAAAGCATTTGTTCAAAAGCTAAGACCAGTCTTTAAAAAGAGTAGCACATAGCCTCATAAATTAGTGAATCCAAGTATGCTGTATGCCATTTTAAGATCCTTCAACAGTAAATCTTAAATCATTTTCACCATTTAGG
This sequence comes from Homo sapiens, assembly GCF_000001405.40. Taxonomy (NCBI): domain Eukaryota; kingdom Metazoa; phylum Chordata; class Mammalia; order Primates; family Hominidae; genus Homo; species Homo sapiens. The sequence continues at coordinate 9,903,160 of NC_000006.12, forward strand.
GTTATAAATTGTATGCAATTATAGGAAATTGGGTCATAATTACTTTTCCCCTAAACTTCAGCTACATTTAAATATCTACAACAATCAAAAGCTCACGTAGGTTATCAGTGAATGGTTATATTTAGAAAAGATAGGTGAGCATTTGCAAGAAACCATTTCAATCAATTTACAACTAATATTAAAACAAAAGATTGAAGATAATTGGTCTCTTACCTTGGGGTTCTCCTTGTCTGCTCTCATCAAAAAGCTTCGTTAATCGATTATAGAAAATTCTATCGTCATCTTGTGGGAGTGTTAAAAGAACATGTGCATGATAACTTTCTCATCAATTAATTTATAGATGTGCAAACATAATTACAAAAAGAAATTATTAATCATTATGGCTATTTAGTTATATTCTGGTTCATAGACAAAATTTCTACTCAATATGCTGCCTTGTTCTGAAAAAGAAAACCCTTTTATAAATAAATATCATTAGAACAATGATTTTAAAATGTATATTGCAAGGCATGCATAATAGGATACTTCTCCATTAAAACTGATCTCATGTTCAATGAATTATGCCATCTATTACTCAAGAATCATTTCAGAATAACCCATTTTGGTTTGTTAAAACATGCAATAGAATACACAAGTGATCAAAATGAATGAGTGTTTTCCATTAGCTACTCTCTATATATCATTTTTTTACTATTTATGTATAAGGAACAACAAAGTTAGATGGTTCTGGATTATTTTATATGTGCTATTGCAATATAGTAGGAAATACAGGGATTCTAACTTCTTTTGTGAATTTAAAGCATTAAGGCCATGTCGTCACCCCCTGCAAAACACATGCATACACACACACACACACACACACACACACACTATTAAAACATTATTCTGGAAGAGGGTCAAAAAGGTCATCCAGGTGGTTATCCCTCTTTGGAGAACTCTGACTAATCTACAAGCTATTATTACCTACATCAGGTCATATGCAAAATTGGAAAATAATAAAATGTTACGCACCTACTACATAGTAGCACTGAAATCTGTATTCTATATTAAGTAAAAGGCATTTAATGGTAATTAATAATAAAGTATTTTGCGATTTCTACTCTCTACCATATACAAATGAACATCATATTACCCTTCCAAAATTAGTGTAAAAAAATCATGCTGGTGTTGGGTTATTTACATTGAAAATAGAGTATAATTTCTATTAAACATAGGAAGTAACCTACTTATGATCTTTCTCTTTATACCATTACTTCCAGGAAGCTCAATGTAAAAATGAGTGCTTAATTATGGTAACAATATTGTCCTGTGTTTTTTTGCAGGTGTTCTCAAATCCCCCCTTCATCTTTACTTGAACTTTTCTATAATTATGTGCATTTCTGCTTCTGTTGTAGGCTACCTCAAATTGTTTTGGAAGTAAAGTACAGATTATAAACAAATAAATATAAGAACAGAGTTCAACCAGGCCAGCTGCAGTGGCTCATAATACCAGCACTTTGGGAGGCTGAGGCAGGCAGATTGCTTGAGCCCGGAAGTCTGAGACCAGCCTGAACACCACAGCAAGACCCCATCTCTACAAAAAATGCAAAATTTAGCCAGGCATGGTAGCGTGTGCCGTAGTCCCAGCTACTCAGGAGACTGAGGTGGGAGGATCACTTGAGCTTGGGAGATGGAGGTTGCAGTGAGCTGAGATCATGCCACTGCAACTCCAGCCTGTAAAAAAACAAACAAACAAAAACACCTCAACCAAAGTGAAGATAGATGGGTGCAAGCAAGACTTTTGGGGTGTTCCCAAAATTCTGCCACACGAAATGCTGTGAACTGCAGCTTGCTTCAGACTGCCCCTCTCTCGGACCCTCCCAGCAGCTCTGATGTTACGTGTCTGCGTAACCTCTAACTCCATGCCACAGAGAAAGTGGAAATATTGCTAATTAGCACTGGTTGACCCCTAAATGGAGTCACGGTGCAGGTGTGAGTACCAGGCAAAAAGAAAAAGAGGACATTATGAATTGCAGACTCAAGGCTGAGGACTCATCTTATCAGGGGGCACTGAGCTGAGCTCTCTTTCTGCATACCCGCATCTTCTTGTTTCTTCTGTTCTCCTATTACAACTCTGAAAGATATTGTCATACGATTGAGATGTTTCATGTTTTGCCACCACTTGGACAATGGGACTGAATCTCAAAACTGGCCAATAAAAGGCTTTTGGTCAATAGCTGTGTTTTTACACTGAAGGAATTCACCAGTGGAAGCCATTATCAGAAGAAACCCCAAGTGACTGTGAATACTTGATCCCACCTCAAATATGTCATTTTTTTTTTTTTTTGAGACAGAGTCTCACTCTGTTTCCCAGGCTGAAGTGCAATGGTGCAATCTCAGCTCACTACAACCTCTGCCTCCTGGGTTCAAGTGATTCTCCTGTCTCAGCCTCCCAAGTAGCTGGGATTACAAGTGCATGCCACCATGCCCAGCTAGTTTTGTATTTTTAGTAGAGATGGGTTTCACCATGTTGTCCAGGCTGGTCTCGAATTCTTGACTTCGGGTGATCCATCCGCCTCGGCCTCCCAAAGTGCTGGGATTACAGGTGTAAGCTACCATACCCAGCCAAATAAGTCCTCTTTTTAAAAATGTAGTATAATATTACTATATTATTATATTATATATTACTTATATATTACAAGTGACAATATATAATATAGAAGTATGTTATATATTATATATATTTATATATTATATTTTATATATTTATATATATATAAGAATATTTCTGGAAATAGGACCCTTTAAGTGGATTTACAAAAACTAATTTCCACTGGTGAAACTGGACAATTTAAAGCCAATCTATCATGACGGTAGTTTATAGAGAGTCAGATATGATCCAGGGAAAGTTAGCACATCACAAAACACCCTTGTCAGAGAGCAATTACTTATTTTCCCCAAAAATATTTTCAAATATCTGATGTGAACTTGTTATCTTTGATAATGGAATGTTAGAAAATGGAGCTCACTGTATGATGAATATCAGACTAATCTTGACAGATCTAGTATCTGGTCACATGAAGTTTATGGGTTAATATAAAAGTGCAGGACTCTACATTATTCATTGGATTTTGGGCAAATATGTGTCACATACATATTATGTGTGAGACACTAAGTGCTGAATATACAGCAACCAATGAATAAGATGCATAGAATTCCTTCCCTCATAGAGTTTCCATTATATTTTCTTTTCTTGATACCATAAGCAGAGTAGGGCTTAGCTATTAGGAATGGGCCTTTTGTTCATGGAAACACCCTAGAAGGTGGCAGAAATATAGAGGAGACTGATCTTTTACCAGTCACATTTGGCCCATTGCATCTCATTTATATCATGTGAATACACAGGGTTCCAGGGTAACAAAACATAACTTATAGAAAATCTAGGAGAATGGAGAAAGCCTGTTTTTCAACCATGAGTTCCTAAGCCATAGCATGAGAAACAAAGAGCCTGGATAGATGAAATGAAGATACATAAATCCTTACCTATTTTGAGAGAAAAAGAAATCTAAAGGCCAGGTATGGTGGTTTACCCCCTGTAATCCCAGCACTTTAAGAGGCCGAGACAGGTGGATTGCTTGAGCCCGGGAGTTTGAGACCAGCCTGGGCAACATGGTGAAACTCCATCTCAACTAAAAAAATAATAATAATAAGCAAAAAATTAGCTAGGTGTAGTGGTGCACATCTGTAGTCACAGCTACTCGGGAGGCTGAAGTGGGACAATCACCCGAGCCCAGGAAGTTGAGGCAGCAGGGAGCCGTGATCATGCCACTGCACTCCAACCTGGGTAAATGGAGTGAGATCCTGTCTCAAAATAAATCTAAAAACTGTTTCCAATATATATAAAATGCACCTTGTAGTTAAGAAGGAACTTCAGAAAGAAGAGGGAAAAAACACTGAGGAAGAAACGAGGGGAAATAATGAAAGCAGAAGAGATGAAAAAGCGGGAAGACAATTAGAAGGAAGTGGAGGAAATAAAAAACAATCGCGAAGGAGCTCATTAGAAACGAGACTCAGTAGAAAGGTGGAAGCCACAGCTGGCAAGAGGGCCAGGCCCCACCTCCCGCAGCACACACCAGCACAGAGCTGGCTGCGGGTAAATACACAGAAAGAGCTTCCTGCTCTGAAACAGGGGACCCCATGTTAGCTGTGGGAGTCTGACAATAATAACTGACTAGGGAAGGGGAAAAGGTGACCAGCAATATTTCATAAAACTTACCTGTCTGTAGTTAGAACCATTCCTTATTCATTGAACACAACTTATTAAGTCACCTTTCCCAAATTAGGGAGTCCTTGCATTCTCAACATTCCACCAAATATAACTATATATTGTGATTCCTAAGAAATTTAAAAGACTTCAGTGGTAATTCAATCAACACCCCTCCCCAGAAATCACTAGAATTGTCTCTTACCCTCCAAGTGTGTTTGGGTAAATAGAAGGTTGAACTTTTCCAGCCTCACATCCACCCTGGCTTTTGAGCTACCAGTGAAAACTGACTCTGAGACTAAGTCCTTGTCTTATCTTGCACATAGGTCTTTTGATAATATCTGTGGATTCTGCATCTTTTAAAAACAGGTTATTGAGAGCTACTTTATAAAATAACCTTTGCACTATGCTTGAGTCCTTTTTGTGAGAATTTACCCTAGTCTTTTATTAAAAGGTGCAGACTCAATGTCTGGCACCCACTGGTGGGATATGATCTGGACTGCAGCTGATTCTAAGTAACATTTGTCATTGTCAATATCTCATCAATAACCTTTATAAAAACCCTATTTTGTAAACTATAAAATATGCATAATATTATGCACTTGAGCAATTTTGAATTGTTACTTTAGAACCGCAACTAGTATTCGAGATTATAGAAGAGGAAATTGTTATCATGTCACTTCCCCTTCGTAATTCTCAAAAGTTAGGTGGTGGTTCCATGAATTCAAGGAAAGAAATTCAGTCATCACAGGATATGGAAATCTCACATGCTAGATGCAATATGTTGAAGAATGCTCATTTTAAATTCAAAAAGCAGAGATACATTTGAAGGTGATGACACTCCTCAGACACATACATGGGCCTTATGATGGCATCAAACTGCTCACGGTAGCATCAGATGAAAGCACATCGCTGCTTCTTCCATCTGACCAGCCCACTGTCCTTGATGAAAAATTACCTTCGCTGCCCATCAAGTTGTTAGTGGTTAAAACTTACCATTTAAATTGTAAGCTGCAAAATCTAAATGGAACTGCATGTGTGATCTTTGTCACCTCATTTTCATGAATGGAAAAGAATATTCT